>NC_000024.10:4841176-5141586 GCF_000001405.40 Homo sapiens
TCAAAACCAATCATGCCTTCCCAACAGTCCCCCAAAGACTTTATTTATTGCAGCATTAACTCAAAAGTCCAATTCCAAAGTCTCATATGAGATAAAACAAGTTTCTTTCACCTACAAGCCAATAAAATCAAAAGCAAATTAATTACTTCCTAGATACAACAGGGGTAGAGACATTGGACACTCTTTTCCAAGTGTCATAAATTGGCCAAAGTGCAGGCACTACAGGCCCCATGAAAGTCTGAAATCCAGTAGGGCAGTGAAATCTCAAAGCTCCAAAATGATCTCCTTTGGCTCCATGTCTCACATTCAGGTCACGCTGATGCAAGAGGTGGGCTCCCAGTGCCTTGGGCAGCTCCATTCCTGTGGCTTTGCAGGGTACAGCCCCCCTCCTGGCTGCTTTCGTGGTCTGGCATTTAATGTCTATGGCTTTTCCAGGCGTATGGTGCAAGCTGTCAGTGGATCTACCATTCTGGGGTCTAGAGGATGGTGGCCTTCTTCTCATAGCTTCACTAATCAGTGACCCAGTGATGACTCTGTGTGGGGGCTTCCACCCCATATTTCCCTTCTGCAGTGCCCTAGCAGAGTTTCTCAATGAGGGCTCTGCCCCTGCAGCACACCTGTGCCTGGACATCCAGACATTTCCATACATCCTCTGAAATTTAGGTGGAGGTTCCAAACCTCAATTATTGTCTTCCATGCACCCACAGAACCAACAACACGTGAAAACTGCCAAGGCTTAGGGCTTGAACCCTCTGAAGCAATGGCCTGAGCTGTACCTTGGCCCTTTTTAGCCGTAGCTGGAGCAGCTGTGACACAGGGCTCAAATCCTGATTTGAATCACAATTCAAGATGACATTTGGGTGGGGACACAAAGCCTAGTCATATCAGTTGTGATAAATTTACAACTTTGTGAATACAGTAAAAACTAGTGAATTGTACACTTTTAAAGGGTAAATGTTGTGGCATGTAAGTTATATCTAAATATTTTAAAATTAGGTCATAAAGAAGCACAAGTTAAACTCATTTTGTTTCAGTACTTACTGTGTAGACTTCAGCAAATTATTAAACCTGTCTGAGCCTCAATTTCTGTCATTTGCCTAACAAGGGTAATAATATCAAACAAACAAGGTTATTGTGACTTGATAAAATATAAAATATGACATGCCTAACATGCAGTAAATAGCTAACGAGTACAGTTATTTTTGTTATTATTATCATTATTACTATCATTTTAAAATCATGGGCTAGAAAGAAACTCAGAAATCCTCAAATTCTTCTATTAACTAATGAAATACCTCACCTTTCTGCCCGATGTTCTTTGTTTTTTGATCTTATGTTGCATATCGATGAGTTACTGCCAATCAGTAAAATATACAGATACACATATACACACATGCATATACTATACTCATACATATATAAAATAATATCTAAAAAATGCTTTGTATCTAATACTTGTTATATTTTCTCAACAAACTGGCTTTCACAGCTATTAAATATCTCTCAGTGACACACTATGCATATCTCAAAAGGCTATAGCTCCTTAAAATATAAGCAAACAAATAAATCCACATATGCATACTCTGAGATTTCTGTGGGTGACAAAAAATACCTAGTCTACTTCAAGCCATTGCTATTCTATCCTTACTCATTGAAATAAGAAACAGTAGGTATATTTTTACCTGAATACGTTTATGCATAGTCAGGGACAAACCAGGCTCTGGTGATCATGGTTCAACTTTCTGATTCTATGAATTTAATGATTTTAGATACTTCACTAAGTATCTAAATCCTTCAATGTGCAGCAACAGTGAATGAATATTAAATATTTTATAGTTGTAAAAAGATATTTCATATATATGATCCTAATTAGTGGTAAACAAAAACTAGTGTGAGAATGGTAAATAATGCTGCCTATATATTCATTTAAAGTATTCTATTTTCAAACACCTTACTTTTATTGCAGTTACCTAGTGATACATATTCAATATGTTTCTCTCCATTTCACAAATGGAAAAACTGAGATATGCAAAACTAAATGACTTAAATAGGGAGACTCTATTCAGTAAAAGAAGAGTAGACCAGGTATGAAAAGTCTCTTCCATTGAACTCTCTTGCTAAAGGTGTAATTAATGAAAAGCAACATCAAAAGGGGACAGAGCAAGATGGCAAAATGGAAAGCCCCACTGATCATCCCCAAGGACACCAATTTTACAATTGTCTACACCAAGAAAACACCTTCATAAGGACCAAAAATCAAGTAAGCACTCATAGTACCTAGTTTTAATTTTCTGTCACTGAAAGAGGCACTGAAAAGGTAATCTTGAATCACCAGTGCCACTGCTATCCCATCCCCCAGCAGCGGCAGCCTGGTGTGGAGAACATTTCTGTGTACTGAGGAGAGGAATAGTGTAGCAATTGTGAGGCATTGAACTTAGTGCAGACCTCTTATAGCAGAAAACTAGAAAAAAACTCAGCTGACATCCACACGTGAAGGAAATATTTAAAGCAGCCCTAGCCAAAGGGTGATTGCTGATCCCAGCAGTCAGAACTTGAGTTCCTGGAAGCCTTGACACAGTGGGACAAAGTACTCTGGGGCCTTAAATAAGCTTGAAAGTGAGTCTAAGCCAAAAAGACTGCAACTCCTAGGTGAGTCTTAGTGCTGAACTTGACCATGAGCCAGTGGACTGGGGAGTATATGACCTATTGAGAATCCAGCTAGGGGAGCTAAAGGAGCTAGTATCACTCATCCCCTAGCCTCAGACTACATAGATCATGGCTCCAAAAGAGACTCCTTCCCTCTGCTTGAAGAGAGAAGATGAAAGAGTGGTGAAGACTTTGTCTTGGACTTTGGATACCAGCTCAGCCACAGCAGGATAGGGCACTGGTCAGAGGTTTGAGGCCCCCATTCCAAGGATCCTGGGAGGCATTTCTAGGCATAAACTGGGCCAGAAGGGAACCTGCTGCCTTTAGGGAAGGACCCAGTCCTGGAAGGATATACCACCTGCTCCCTGAAGAGCCCTTGGGCCCTGAGTATCCAGCAGTAATACCCAGGTACCACATTGATTGCATTGGGTGAGCAGCTGAGACTGTCTGGCTTCAGGTAAGACTCAGCATGTGCCAAAATGAGGTGGGACTCCTTTCACTTGAGAAAAGCAGTGGGTAAAGTAAATGAGAGGTTGTTTTGCACATTAGGTATTATCTCAGCCACAGTGGAATAGAGAACCAAGCGGGATCTTGAGGTCTGCAATTCCAGGATGTGGCACTTGAATGGCATTTGGGGATGTTCCCTGGGCCAGAGGGGAGCCCACTGCACTGAAAGGAGAGTTACAGGCCAGGCAGCATTCACCGCAAGCTGACTAAAGAGCTCTTCAGCCTTAAGCAGGCATAGGTGGTAAAGAGCTCTTCAGCCTTAAGCAGGCACTCTCTCCTGCTCCATCATGGGAAAATGTGCATTGCTTCCCCTTAATCTTCCACCATGATTGTAAGTTTCTTGAGGCTTCCCAGTTATGCTTCCCGTTAAGCCTGTGGAACTGTGAGTCAATTGAACATTTTTGTTTAATAAATTACCCAGTTTCAAGTAGTTCTTTACAGCAGAGTGAAAACGGACTAATACAAGATCCATAACAAACAACAACAAAAAAAAAACAAGAGAAAGTAAAGAAATAATAACATCTTTAATACAATAAAGCTGCAATATGTCTGACAGAAGACTTTTTAGTGGAAACTTTACAGGCCAGGAGAGAGTGGCAGGACATATTTAACATGCTGAAAAAAAAATTTACACTAGCATACCATACGTAGCTAAAGTATCCTTCAAACATGAAGAGAAATAAGGTCTTTCCCAGGCAAACAAAAGCTTCTGAGGGACTTTATAAACACCAGACCTGTCATACAAGAAATGCTAGAGTGTACTTCATTCAGAAAGAGAAAGTTGATGACAAGCAATAAGATACATCTAAAAGTACAAACTTACTGGTAACAAACAGGAAGTACACAGAAAAACACAGACTAATTTAACACTGTAACTGTGGTGTGTAAACTACTTCTATCCTAAATAGAAAGACTAAATGATGAACCAATAAAAAATAAAAACTTCAACCTTTTTATGACCTTGACAATACAATAATATTGTAAATAGAAACAATAAAAAGTAAAAAAGCAGAATGACAAAGGTAGTGTAGGGTCTTTATTAGTTTTCTTTTTGTTTGTTTGCCTTTGCAAACAGGGTGAAGTTGTTAACAGCTTAAAATAATGGGTTATAAGATAGTATTTGCAAGCCTTATGGTAACTGCAAACCAGAAAACATACAACATATACACACAAAATAAAAAACAAGGAACTAAATCATATCACCAGGGAAAATTACCTTCAATGAAAAGAAGACAAGAAGGAAGGAAAGAACAAAAAGATCACAAAACAACAAGAAAACAAATAAACAATGCAGTAAGAGTTAGTCCTTACTCACCAATAATAACATTGAATATAAATGGAATAAACTTTCCAATCAAAAGACACAGAGTGGCTGACTGAGGACAAAAACGACCCATTGATCTGTTGTATACAAGAAACACATTTTTTAAACATATATGCACCTAACACTGCAGCACCCAGAAAAATAAAGCAAATATTATTCGCATTCATTACATAGATGGGCCCGAATGCAGTGATAGCTGGAGGCTTCAACACCCCACTTTCAGCATTGAAAAGATCTTCTAGACAGAAAGTAAACAAATAAACATGACTTAATCTGCACTATAGACAAAATGGATCTAATAGATATTTACAGAATATTTCATCCAAGAGCTGCAGAATACACATTCTTTTCCTCAGCACATGGATCATTCTCAAGGACAGACCATATATTAAGTCACAAAACAAGTAAAACATTCGAATGATGGAAATAATGTCAAAAATCTTCTCTGACCACAATGCAGTAAAACAAGTTATTAATAACAAGAGGAATTTTGGAAGCCATAGAAACAGATGGAAAGTAAACAACATCCTCCTGAATCACCAGTGGGTCAATTAAGAAATTAAGGAGGAAATTGAAAATTTTTCTGAAGTAAATGATAATGGACACACAATATACAAAAGCCTATGGGATACAGAAAAAGCAGTACTAAGGTGGAAGTTTATAGCTATAAGTGCCTACATTTAAAAAGAAGGAAAACCAAACAAACAACCTAACAATGCATCTTAAAGAACTAGAAAAGCAAGAATAAACTGAACTCAAAATTAGTAGGAGAAAGAAAATAATAAAGATTAGAGTGGAAATAAATGCAACAGAAATAAAGAAAATAATATAAAAGACAAAACAGAAAGTTGTTTTCTTTTGAAAAGTTAAGCAAAATTAACAAATGTTTAGCCAGATTAAGAAAAAAAGAGAGAAGTCACAAGTAAATCAAATCAGAGTTGAAAAAGAGACATTACAATGGATATTGATGAAATTCAAAAGTTCATTAGCGGCTCCTAGGAGCAACTATATACCAATAAATTGAAAAATCCATAGGAAATGGACAAATTTCTAGACACATACAACCTAACAAAATTTAACCTTAAGGAAACTCAAAATCTGAGCAGACCAATAACAAGTAACAAGAATAAAGCTGTAATAAAACATTTTCTAATAAATAAAAGTCCAGAATCTGATAGATTCACTGCCAAATTCTAAACATTTAAAGAACTGATACCAATCCTACTCAAACTATTCCAAGATATAGAGAAGAAGGAAGCACATTCAAACTCATCCTATGAGGTCAGTATTACGTTGATACCAAAACCAGACAAAGAAAACCAAAGCCAATATATCTGATGAAGATTGATGAAAAAATCCTTAACAAAATACTAGCAAACTGGTTTAAACAACACATTGAAACTATCAGTCATCATGACCAAGTGGGATTTATTTCAGGAATGCAAGGATGGGTCAACCTATGAAAATCAATCCATGTGATATATCAACAGAATGAAAAACAAAAAGTTTATTAATTATTTCAATTGATGCTAAAAAAAACATTTTGTAAAATTCAACGTCCCTTCGTGATAAACACCCTAAACAACTGGGTATAAAAGGAACATACCTCAGTATAATAAAACCCATATATGGGAGACCCACAGCTAGTATTATACTAAAAATGGAGAAACTGAAAGTCTTTCCTCTAAGATCTGGAACACTGCAAGGATGCCCTTTGTCACCACTGTTATTCAGCATAGTACTGGAATTCTTATCTAGAGCAATCAGATGAGAGAAACATATAAAGGGCCTCCAAATTGGAAAGGAAGAAGTCAGGTAATCCAAGTTTGCAGATGATATGATCTTGCATTTAGAAAAACCTTAAGACTCCATGAAAAGTACTATTAGAACTCATAAGCAAATTCTATAAAGTTGCAGAACACAAAATCAACATACAAAAATCAGTAGCATTTTTATATGGTAACATTGTAAAATCAAAAAAGGGTTTTAAGTATAATCCCATTTACAATAGCCAGAAATAAAATTAAATAGCTAGGAATTTATTTAACCAAAGTGAAAGATCTTCATAATGAAAACTATAAAACACTGACAAAAGAAATTGTAGAGGACACCAAAAACTGGAAAGATATTCCATGTTCATGTATTGGAAGAATCAAAAATGTTAAAATGTCCATATGACCCTAAGCAATCTGCAGATTCAATGCAATCCCTATCAAAATACCAGCGACATTCTTCACAAATCAGCAAGAAAAAAAAATTATCCCATCAAAAACTGGGCAAAGAACATGAATAGACAATTCTCAAAAGAAGGTATACAAATGGCCAACAAACATATGAAAAAATACTCAAGATCTCTAATTATCAAGGAAATGCAAATGAAAACCACAATGAGATATCTCCTTACTCTTCTAGGTATGGCCACAATTAAAAAATCAAAATATAATAGGCATTGCGGTGGATGTGGTGAAAAGGAAACACTTTTATGCTGCTGGTGGGAATGTAAACTAGTATAACCACTATTGAAAATAGTATGGAGATTCCTTAAAGAACTAAAAGTACAACTACCACTCAATCCAGCAATCCCACTACTGGGTATTTTCCCAAAGCAAAGGAAGTCATTATATATTTTTAAAAAAACACTTGCACACGTATGTTTATAGCAGCACAATTCACAATTGCAAAAATATGGAACCAACCTAAATGCCCATCAATTAATGCATGGATTTTAAAAAGTGGTATATATACACCGTGGAATACTACTCAGCCATAAAAAGGAATGAAATAATGGCATTTTCAGCAACATGGGTGAAGTTGGAAACCATTATTCTAAGTGAAGTAACTCAAAAATGGAAAACCAAATATCATATATTCTCATTTATAAGTTGGAGCTAAGATATGAGGATACAAAGGTACAGAGTGATATAATGGACTTTGAGGACTCAGGGGAAGGGTGGCAGAAGGGTGAGGGATAAAAGACTACACATTGGGAAGAGTGTGCACTGCTGAGGTAACAAGTGCACCAAAATCTCAGAAATCACCACTAAAGAACTTAGTCATGTAACTAAAAACCACCTGTGCCCCCAAAACTATTGAAATAAAATAAAGAGGAAGAAAAAGACTTCAAGTCTTCAAGATAACTTACTTTTACAGAGATTTCAATAATTTTGTTTGAGGAAATGAATTTTGCTTTAGTTGTTTCTCTCACAAGATTTCACCCATAATAATGTCACCGTTTTACCCCATAACTGGATTATTCTTCATTATGAGAATATATTACCTAACCTATATTACTAAATGAGAAAATATGTTGCTTTGAGAGTTGAGATAAATACATTTTCATCTATTTTTTTACCTTATAGAGGAAACAAAGTGGTGGAAGTGTTTACATTTGCACACTGTACAGTCATGTATTGCTTAATGACATAGATGCATAGTTAGGCAATTTCACTGTTGTGCAAACATCATAGAATGTAATTCAAAAACCTAGATACTATAGCCTACTACATAACTAGACTATATGGTACAGCCTAATCCTTCTAGACTACAAACCTGTACAGCATGTTACTGTACTGAATAGCGTAGGCAATTGGAAAACAATGGTCAGTATTTGAATATCTAAACATATTTAAACATAGAAAAGTTACAGTAAAATATAATATAAAAGATTCAAAAAACAATACCTGCATAGGGCACTTATAATGAGTAAATCTTGCAGCACAGAAGATTGCTCTAGGTGAGTCTGTGAGTGAGCGGTGCATGGATGTGAAGGGCTAGCATATTATTATACCCTACTTTAGAATGTATAGACACTGTACTCTTAGACTACACAATATTTATTTTAAAATATTTATTTCTGATGAATACTGTATGTTGTAACTCATATGTGGGAGCTAAACAAATAAAATTGAGCTCACAGAAGTTTAGAGTAGAATTGCAGTTATTAGAGGCTGGGAAAAGTGTGGGGGAAGAATAAGGGGAGGTTGGTTAATGGGTACAAAGTTACAGCAAGGTGAGTGGAATAAGCATTATACAGCACTATAAGGTGAATAAGGTTAACAATAATTCAGTGTATGTTCTTAAAAGCTAGAAGAGATAATTTTGAATGTTCGCAGTGAAAACAAATAATGTTTAAGGTCATGGATATATTAATTATCCTGATTTGATCATTACACATTGTATACATGTATTGAAATATCACTCTGTATCCCATTAATATGTGCAATTATTAGGTGGCAACTAAAAATAAAAGGAATAAGGTGTTTCTTTTTTAAATAATGGATTAATATTAGCTTATGTAACTTTTTAACTTCATAAACATATGTAACTTTTTGACTCTTGTAATAACAGCTTAAGTCACATATTGCACAGCGGTAGAAAAATATTTTACACATATCCCTATTTGATAGACTTTTCTCTATTTTTTAATTTTTTAATATTTTACTTTTTAAACTTTTTATGTAAAAACTAAGACACAAACACACACATTAGTCTAGACCTGCACAGGGTCAGAATCATTAATATCATTGCCTTCCACCTCCATATCTTGTCCCACTGAAAGGACTTTAGGAGCAATAACACACACATGGAGCTGTCATTTCCAATGTAACAATGTTTTCTTCTTGAATGACTCCTGAAGGACCTGTCTGAGTTTTGTTTTACAGTTAACTTTTTATGTATATAAATAGAAGATGTATACTCTAAATTAATTATAAAAAGTTTAGTAAATACATAAACCAGTAACATAGTTGTTTATAATTATCATCAAGCATTATGTTCTGTATATATAATTGTCTATGCTATACTTTTATATTACCATATACATGTGAGTAACACACTGCACTTCAACATTACAATGCCTACAATGTCACTAGGCAATACAAATATTTCAGCTCCATTATAATCTTATAGGATTACCTTCCTCTATGCTGTCTATCCTTGACTGAAATGTTCTTATGCCTTGCATCACTGTAGTTAGTTCTATCTGTAAAAAGAAATCTGAATATACAACACATTTTGAAATGTATAATAAACACATTGTTGAAAAGATTTCCATCTTCACTAGTTACACAATAAGTACAACACAACTCTCCTTCTGAGATTCTTAGACATTGAGGTTTATCTTAAACCTCAAACTCCTACTCACAGAATATGTATATTCACACATTTTTGGGGTGTATATTAATGAACATATATAAGAATATATTAAAAAATGACTACAGAAGAAGAAAATCACTCTATTGAGCTCTAAAATGTACTCACATTCATAAGCTACAAATTTTTACTTCCATTGGCATAAAGCACTATCACTCCATTGCTTCAAAGGCAGCTGTGGCTGACAGAGTTCTCAAGAAATATTTATCAAAAAAATTTATGAAAGAAAGGGATGTTTTGTCTTGTGTTTCCTGTGATGCTTAAGAACTAAACATATCACATGGTAACTGTATTTCTTTGAAGTTTTACTATTTTTTTCTTAAGTTCATAAACTACAAGAACCAATATCAAAAATCAACAGTAACAGTACTCTTTAGAGATTTATTATAAATGAAAAATATAAGAATTAAAAAACTAAATTTTATTTTAGTAGATATTTTACAATGGAAATAATTACATGCACACAAAATGAGCAAATATCCTGAAATTTTGTTTTGTTCTTTATTTTTGTCAATAAAGGTCTTTTTTGCAAGTTAAGCATTCTCACTATTGAGAACCATGTTGAACACAATTCATCATTTTGATAAGTGCAGGTAAATTTAACTACCTTTTTATTAGAAAATTAATTGTTAATACTGGTATTTTAAAACATAGATGGATAGAATAACATGCATCCATAAAAAAAAGAACAAGATCATGTCCTTTGCAGGAACATGTATGAAGCTGGAGGCCATTACCCTTAACAAACTAATGCGGGAACAAGAAACCAAATACCAGATGTTCTCACTTATAACTGAGAGCTAAATGATGAGAACACATGGACACATGGGAGTAACAACAGACACTGGTGTTTATCAGAGGGTGGAGTGTGGAAGGAGGGAGAGGATCAGGAAATATAACTAATGGGTCCTAGGTTTGATACATGCATATTAATACATGGGTGAAAAAAATAATTTGTGCAAGAAATCCCCAAAATACAAGTTTTTCTGTATGACAGACATGCACATGTATCCCTGAACTTAAAATAAAAGTTAAAATAATTTTAAAAAAACATATTTCTAGCTTTTCTTGAATTAAGTATTATCAAAAATAATCAGTATCTAGCTTGGGTTGGAAACATCATCACATGAGTTCCTTCAAGGTCTCCTTTTCAACTTTTAGATTTATGTATATTTATACCGACCACCATTTTATTTCTTATGTCAGGGAAAACATTTTGTCTCTTTCCTTCTAAAATACTGGATTCATTCTTCTTCCCTTCTCTCATCTCAGACTTTTGCTTCATTTATTTTCAACCTCTCACTCAAAAACAGATCTTTTCCCTTTATTATGAAAACAAATTCACAATGATCTCATACACAGAAAAACAATAAACTTCCCTAAATCCCTATACTCCCTGTATTAATCCATTCTCATGCTGCTGTGAAGAAATCTCTGAGACTGGGTAACTTATAAAGGAAAGAGATTTAATTGACTCACAGTTCCACAGGACTGGGGAAGCCTCAGGAAACTTATAATCAAGGCAGAAGGGGAAGCAAACATGCTCTTCCTTACAAGGTGGCAGGAGAGAAATGTGCTGAGCAAAAGGGCTAAAAGCCCCTTATAAAACCATCAGATCTCATGAGAACTCACTCACTATCATGAGAACAGCATGAGGGTAACCACCTCTATGATTAAATTACCTCTCAATTGGTCCCATCCATGACATGTGAAGATTATGGGGATTACAATTTAAGATGAGATTTGGGTGGGAGCACAAAGCCTAACCATATTATTCCATCCCTGGCCCCTCCCAAATCTCATGTTCCTTTCACATTTTCAAAACCAATCATGCCTTCCCAACAGTCCCCCAAAGTCTTAATTCCAGCATTAACTCAAAAATCCAAGTCCAATGTCTCATATGAGACATGGTAAGTCTCTTCTGCCTATGAGCTTGTAAGATCAAAAGAAAATTAGTTACTTCCTGGACACAATCAGGGTACATGTGTTGGGTAAATATACCCATTTCAAATGGGAGAAATTGGCCAAAATGAAGGGGTTACAGGTTATAGTAAAGTCCAAAATACAATAGGGAAGTCATTAAACCTTAAGCTCCAAAATGACTACCTTTGACTTCACGTCTCACATCTAGGACACACTGATGCAAAGGATGGGCTCCCATGGCCTTGGGCAGCTCTACCCCTGTGGCTTTGTGGAGCATAGCCCCCCTCCTGGCTGCTTTTGTAGCTGGCACTAAGTGTCTGTGGCTTTTCCAGGCGCACAATGAAAGCTGTAGGTGGGTCTACCATTCTGGTGTCTGAAGCACATTGGCCCTCTTCTCACAGTTCCACTAGGCAGTGCCCCAGTGTGTGGGGACTCTGACCCCACATTTCCTTTCCATGCTGCTCAGCAGAGGTTCTTCATGAAGGTTCACCCCTGCAGCAGACTTCTGCCTGGACATCCAGGTGTTTCCAAACATCCTCTGAAACCTAGGCTGAGGTTCTAAAACTTCAATTCTTGTCTTTTGCACACACAGGACCAACATCACATGGAAGCTGCCAAGGTTTAGGGCTTGCACCCTCTGAAGCAATGGCCCAAGCTATATTTTGGCCCCTTTTAGCCATTACTTGAGTCACTGGGATGCAAGGCACTAAGTCCCTAGGCTGCACACAGCAGGGGGCCCTGGGCATGGCCCAGGAATTAATTTTTTTTCTCCTAGGACTCCAGGCCTGTGATGGGAGGGGCTGTTATGAAGGTCTCTGACACGTCTTGGAGACATTTTTCCCATTGTCTTGGTGATTAACATTTGGCACTCCATTACTTATGTAAGTTTCCGCTGCCAGCTTGAATTTCTCCCCAGAAAAAGAATTTTTGTTTTTTATTGTATCATCAGGCTGCAAATTTTCTAATCTTTTATGCTTTCTTCCTCTTGAAAGCTTTGCCATTTACAAATTTATTCCGCCAGAAACCGTAAATCATCCCTCTCAAGTTCAAAGTTCCACAAATCTCTAGGGCAGGGAAAAATGCTGCCAATGTCTTTGCTGAAACATAGCAAGAGTCACCTTCATTCCAGTTCCCAAAAAGTTCCTCATCTCCATCTGAGACCACCTCAGCCTGGACTTCATAGTCCATACCACTATCAGCATATTGGTCAAAGCCATTCAACAAGTCTCTAAGAAATTCCAAATTTCCCACATCTTTCTGCCTTCTGAGCTCTCCAAACTGTTCCAACCTTGGCCTGTTACTCAGTTCCAAAGTCGCTTCCAAATTTTCAGGTTTCCTTATAGTAGTACCCGACTCTGTGCAGTACCAGTTAACTGTATTAGTCCATTCTCATGCTGCTATGAAGAAATGCTCAAGACTGAGTAATTTATAAAGTAAAGAGGTTTAATTGACTCATGGTTCTGCATGGTTGAGGAGGTCTCAGGAAACTTACAGTCATGGTGGAAAGGTAAACAAGCACATCCTTCTTCACAAGGTGGCAGGAGAGAGAAGAGCCAAGAGAAAGGGGGAAAAGCCCCTTATAAAACCATCAGATCTCATGAGAACTCACTCACTATCATGAGAACAGGATGAGAGTAACTACCCCCACGATCAAATTACCCCCCACCGGGTCCTTCCCATGACACATGGGGATTATGGGAACTACAATTCAAGATGAGATTTGGGTGGGGACACAGCCAAACGGTATCACCCCCTCAAGCTGCAATGCTGTCTTTCAATTCTCTTCACTACAAAATTCTTAAAAGAATAATATATTTACGCTTCTAAAACCCTATTGTCCAAATTATTCTGTAAACCTTTCCCATGACACTTTAAAATGTACTATGTCACTCAGGGGAGTCACTGACTAAAATACCCAACAGTCTTTTCATCTTAGTGCTCTTTGTCATTTGACTTATTTTCATTTGTCTCTTCCCTGGCTGTTGTAATTCTGCATATGTACTTAGCTCTCCTCTTTCTCCTTTATTAACCACTCCTCAGTTTCATGCAACTTTATATTCTGCTTTTCTGGTTCATATTCCTCTTTGTATAAATGCATGTTTTTACCTGGGATTTTTTTTCTTAACTCTCATCTTGACACATACCAGAGATAATAAGCTGACAATCTCTATACAAAACTTGATTTACAGATATGGCTTGTATGGTCAGCATTCAAACTGAGCATGCATTTTCTAGTTTACCGCAGGCCTCATCAACTCTTAATGGATTATAACTGATCTCTTTTGAATATTAATTTTTACCAGAAGTCTTCAATATTTTGTTGTTTATATTTTTGTCTTGTGTACTCTCTTGAGTTCTAAGTTCATATTTTCTATGGTGTGTTACTCATTTTCATGTACATACCCTATCTGTAGCTAAAAGTCTGTTTCTAAACATCAGATTAGCTTCTCCCCTCTGAAACTCAATCTTCTGCATTTTTTATTCATGTGAATGGTGCCAATATCTTTCCACTATCTATCTTTCCATCGACTTAGGCTTGAAATATCAGTGTCATCTTTCACTTCTTACAGGCCACACAAAACCAATTTGTTTTTAAGTCCTGTTTCTTTCAAGGTCTATAATATATGTTTGCATTGATCTCTCCTTTCAGTTCCAGAGCAAGCACCTTAAGTTAGGTTCTCACTGCCTCTTCTTGGGACCACTGCACTTGCTTCCCTGTAAACTAAATTGTGTTACAAGAAAAGCATTTAAAGTAACATCAAAAGTTTAACCTAAAATAAAGAAAATTGGATGGTCCTGAGAGCAAATTTCCAATAACTTAAAGGCTGTCATGGAGAAAAGGGATTAGAGTATCCTGTGTGGTCTTCAGGAAAGCCAGGACCCCAGTGGGTAGAAGATGTACATGGGCAATTTTTGAGTCAATATAAATAAGCTTTTTCTAATATTTATCTCAGAAAGTAAATGCTATGTTACTTTAGACATTTGAACCCAGACTGAAACACAAGTTATGTATGTTACAGAAAAGATTACGTAACTATGAAGGTTCTTTCTTACCAGAGAAGTCTATGATTTTAAGAACTACACATCTGTAAGACTGTCAGATTGCTAAGTCTATAAGGATTTTAGAATTATTTGTGTGTGTGTGTGTGCGTGTGTAGTAAAAGGCCTTTTGTTCAAGTAAGTAATAAACATACCTCACTACTGAGAACCATGCTAAATGCAATTCAACATGCAAGTGAATACAGAGGCCAAGAAATTTTCAATTTCTTTCAAGATTCAGATGTGTTGATACCTCTTTCCAAAGAAGGAGCATAGTTAAGTGATTTTTCCGACCTGAAAGTAGAAATTGCCCAAATAACATAATGAGAAAATATTATTTCTATATTTATGGTCTTATTTACATTTTCAAAGTGTTTTCATTGTTGTTACTTCATTTAATAATCAGAAAAAAGAACCTGAAAACTGGGTTGATGTTATTCTTATCTTACTGATTAGAAAACTAAAATTCAGCAGTGTTATTTCTTATTAAAAGGCCATTATCAACATACATGATTAAAACCATTTTTTTTGACTCCTAAATCACTGTACTTTCCACTAAAACATGTTGCTTTCCAGTACTGGACAGTTTCTGGTATTAAAATTAACATGAACTCAATGATACAGGTTGAGTGATGATAGTGGAGTAAGTTTGAATAATTTAGAAACGAACATACCTGATGAGATGTATTTGATTTATTGATGTTTAATACCATCAAAGTTTCCTTACCACTAAGGTAAAATTTGTCACACTTAAACTTTTATAGCAATTTTCTCACTGAGAAATGGCAAATTTTTATCAAATACAGATGTGTATTAGAAACGTTTATTTAATCAGTTCAAGAGGAAGTAGTTCTTATGACATAGAAATAAAATAACTTATTTCCTCCATCAAATTCCTCTCTTGAGAGTCCATTGAGGGGAAAAAGTCAAATTTGACAAAAGCTATCATTGTCAGTATAGCATTGATTAGTTATAGCAGGACTTAAAGTGATGATTCCATTATCAGGATTTTTTTTAATGCTGTGACAATAGACAGTTAAAAGTGCTTATTTTACCTTAACACTTATTTATTGGTATGTATTGCCCTTTAAAATTCTTATATCTTAAAATTATTAAATCTTTATCCTGGTATAAATAGGATAAAATTTGTATCCTCAGCATGTTGTACATTTCAAAATTAATTGTCAAGACAGAGCCATCTGCTATAATAATTAGACACAGCAGTCCAGCAGTTGTCCAGCTGTTGCCATCATATAGTGCACTATCCAATATGTAGTAGTCCAGCAGTAGTCCAATATGCTGACACTAAAATGACAAAAACAATTGAGACAGCTGCAGGTGTAATCCAATACAGAGTAGGAAAGGCAGTCATACCAGCTATTGACTCCTTTACTATCAATATAAAAAGTGTCTTTTAGCCTATGTGGCAAATTACCCTATGCTGCAAGTTTATTACCAAATGCTTATTCTTTTCTTCATTAAACTCTTTTACACACTTATAATCACACCCAATTGACTTTCTATACTCTTTTATACTGGTTAACATGACTCTATATGCCAACACAACTGAAATCTGTTCAACTTGAAGACGTCTCCTCTAACAAATCTAAAACAAATGGTACTCATACAAACCCATCCAACTAAAACTGCTTTCCTTCTAACAAAACTAAGTAATCAACAAATATTTATTTATTTATTTATTTATTTTCTTCTTTTTGTATTATACTTTAAGTTTTAGGGTACATGTGCACAACGTGCAGGTTTGTTACATATATATACATGTGTCATGTTGGTGTGCTGCACCCATTAACTCGTCATTTAACATTAGGCATATCTCCTAATGCTATCCCTCCCCCCTCCCCTCACCCCACAACAGGCCCTGGTGTGTGATGTTCCCCTTCCTGTGTCCATGTGTTCTCATTGTTCAATGCCCACCTATGAGTGAGAACATGCAGCGTTTGGTTTTTTGTCCTTGCGATAGTTTGCTGAGAATGATGGTTTCCAGCTTCATCCATTTCCCTACAAAGGACATGAGCTCATCATTTTTTATGGCTGCATAGTATTCCATGGTGTATATGTGCCATATTTTCTTAATCCAGTCTATTATTGTTGTACATTTGGGTTGGTTCCAAGTCTTTGCTATTGTGAATAGTGCCGCAATAAACATACATGTACATGTGTTTTATAGCAGCATGACTTATAGTCCTTTGGGTATATACCCAGTAATGGGATGGCTGGGTCAAATGGTATTTCTAGTTCTAGATCCCTGAGGAATCGCCACACTGACTTCCAAAAGGGTTGAACTAGTTTACAGTCCCACCAATAGTGTAAAAGAGTTTCTATTTCTCCACATCCTCTCCAGCACCTGTTGTTTCCTGACTTTTTAATGATCGCCATTCTAACTGCTGTGAGACGGTATCTCATTGTGGTTTTGATTTGCATTTCTCTGATGGCCAGTGATGATGAGCATTTTATCATGTGTCTTTTGGCTGCATAAACATCTTCTTTTGAGAAGTGTCTGTTCATATCCTTCACCCACTTGTTGATGGGGTTGTTTGTTTTTTTCTTGTGAATTTGTTTGAGTTCATTGTAGATTCTGGATATTAGCCCTTTGTCAAATAAGTAGATTGCAAAAATTTTCTCCCATTCTGTAGGTTGCCTGTTCGCTCTGATGAACAATGCAGTGCAGAAGCACTTTAGTTTAATTAGATCCCATTTGTCAATTTTGGCTTTTGTTGCCATTGCTTTTGGTGTTTTAGACATGAAGTCCTTGCCCATGCCTATGTCCTGAATGGTATTGCCTAGGTTTTCTTCTAGGGTTTTTATGGTTTTAGGTCTAACATTTAAATCTTTAATCCATTTTGAATTAATTTTTGTATAAGGTGTAAGGAAGGGATCCAGTTTCAGCTTTCTACATATGGCTAGCCAGTTTTCCCAGCACCAATTATTAAATAGGGAATCCTTTCCCCATTTCTTGTTTTTGTCAGGTTTGTCAAAGATCAGATAGTTGTAGATACGTGGTATTATTTCTGAGGGCTCTGTTCTGTTCCATTGGTCTATATCTCTGTTTTCGTACCAGTACCATTCTGTTTTGGTCACTGTAGCCTTGTAGTACAGTTTGAAGTCAGGTAGCATGATGCCTCCAGCTTTGTTCTTTTGGCTTAGGATTGACTTGGCAATGCGGGCTCTTTTTTGGTTCTGTATGAACTTTAAAGTAGTTTTTTTCCAATTCTGTGAAGAAAGGCATTGGTAGCTTGATGGGGATGGCATTGAATCTATAAATTACCTTGGGCAGTATGGCCATTTTCATGATATTGATTCTTCCTGCCCATGAGCATGGAATGTTCTTCCATTTGTTTGTATCCTCTTTTATTTCATTGAGCAGTGGTTTGTAGTTCTCCTTGAAGAGGTCCTTCACGTCCCTCGTAAGTTGGATTCCTAGGTATTTTGTTCTCTTTGAAGCAATTGTGAATGGGAGTTCACTCATGATTTGGCTCTCTGTTTGTCTGTTATTGGTGTATAAGAATGCTTGTGATTTTTGCACATTGATTTTGTATCCTGAGACTTTGCTGAAGTTGCTTATCAGCTTAAGGAGATTTTGGGCTGAGATTATGGGGTTTTATAGATATATAACATGTCATCTGCAAACAGGGACAATTTGACTTCTTTTCCTAATTGAATACCCTTTATTTCTTTCTCCTGCCTGATTGCCCTGGCCAGAACTTCCAACACTATGTTGAATAGGAGTGGTGAGAGAGGGCATCCCTGTCTTGTGCCAGTTTTCAAAGGGAATGTTTCCAGTTTTTGCCCATTCTTTATGATATTGGCACTGGGTTTGTCATAAATAGCTCTTATTATTTTGACTTCCGTTCCATCACTACCTAGTTTATTGAGAGGTTTTAGCATGAAGGGGTGCTGAATTTTGTTGAAGGCCATTTCTGCATCTATTGAGATAATCATGTGGTTTTTGTCATTGGTTCGGTTTATGTGATGGGTTATGTTTAGGGATTTACATATGTTGAACCAGCCTTGCATCCCAGGTATGAAGCCAACTTGAACGTGGTGGATAGGCTTTATGATGTGCTTCTGGATTCAGTTTTCCAGTATTTTGTTGTGGATTTTCACATGGATGTTCATCAGGGATATTGGGCTGAAATTTTTTGATGTTGTTGTGTCTCTGCCAGGTTTTGGTATCAGGATGATGCTGGCCTCATAAAATGAGTTAGGGAGGAGTCTCTCTTTTTCTATTGTTTGGAATAGTTTCAGAAGGAACGGTGCCAGCTCCTGTTTGTATCTCTTGTGTAATTCAGCTGTGAGTCCATCTGGTCTGGGACTTCTTTTGATTGGTAGGCTATTAGTTACTGCCTCAATTTCAGAACTTGGTATTGGTCTATTCAGGGATTTGACTTCTTCGTGCTTTAGTCTTGGGAGGGTGTATGTGTCCAGGAATTTATCCATTTCTTCTCGATTTTCTAGTTTATTTGTGTAGAGGTGCTTATAGTATTCTCTGATGGTAGCTTTTATTTCTGTGGGATCAATGATGATATCCCCTATATCATTTTTATTGGGTCTATTTGATTCTTCTCCTTTTTTTCTTTATTAGTCTGGCTAGCAGTCTATCTATTTTATTGATCTTGTCAGAAAACCAGCTTCTGGATTCGTTGATTTTTTGAAAGGTTTTTCGTGTCTCTATCTCCTTCAGTTCTGCTCTGATCTTAGTTATTTCTTGTCTTCTGCTAGCTTTTGAATTTGTTTGCTGTTGCTTTTCTAGTTCTTTTAATTTTGATGTTAGTGTGTCAATTTTAGATCTTTCATCTTTTCTCTTGTGAGCATTTAGTGCTATAAATTTCCCTCTACACACTGCTTTAAATGTTTCCCAGAGATTCTGGTATATTGTGTCTTCATTCTCATTGTATTCAAAGAACATCTTTTACCTGCCTTCATTTCGTTATTTACCCAGTAGTCATTCAGGAGCAGGTTGTTCAGTTTCCATGTAGTTATGCAGTTTTGAGTAAGTTTCTTAATCCTGAGTTCTAATTTGATTGCACTGTGGTCTGAGAGACAGTTTGTTATGATTTCCATCATATTGCATTTGCTGAGGAGTGTTTTACTTTCAATTATGTGGTCAATTTTAGAATAATTGTGATGAGGTGCCGAGAAGAATGTATATTCTGTTGACCTGGGGTGGAGAGTTCTGTAAATGTCTATTATGCCTGCTTGGTCCAGAGCTGAGTTCAAGTCCTGAATATCCTTGTTAATTTTCTGTCTCATTGATGTGTCTAATATTGATGTCTAATATTGACAGTGGGATGTTAAAGTCTCCCACTATTATTGTGTGGGAGTCTAAGTCTCTTTGTAGGTTTCTAAGAACTTGCTTTATGAATCTAGGTGCTCCTGTATTGGGTACATATATATTTAGGATAGTTAGCTCTTCTTGTTTCATTGATCCCTTTACCATTATGTAATGCTCCTCTTTGTCTCTTTTGATCTTTTTTGGTTTAAATTCTGTTTTATCAGAGATTAGGATTGCAACTTCTACTTTTTTTTTTTTGGTTTTCCATTTTCTTGGTAAATATTCCTCCATCCCTTTATTTTGAGCCTATGTATGTCTTTGTATGTGAGTTGGGTCTCCTGAATACAGCACACTGATGGGTCCTGACTCTATCCAATTTGCCAGTCTGTGTCATTTAATTGGAGCATTTAGGCCATTTACATTTCAGGTTAATATTGTTATGTATTAATTTGATCCTGTCATTATGATGCTACCTGGTTATTTTGCCCATTATTTCTGTTCCAGGGAGATGGGGTTTTATCTATAAGTCCCTGACTGGGGCTGCTGCCTTTTGATCAGAGATGCCCTGTCCAGAGAGAAGAAATCTGGCAGTCTAGCCACAGTGGCCTTGCTGAGCTGCAGTGGGCTCTGCCCAGTTCGGACTTCCCCAAGGCTTTTTTTACACTGTTAGGGTTAAACAGCCTACTCAAGCCTCAGCAATGGCAGACGCCCCTCCCCCAACCAAGCTGGAGCACCCCAGGTCAATCTCAGGCTGTTGCTGTGCTGGCAGGGAGAATTTCAAGCGAGTGGATCTTAGTTTCCTGGGCTCCATGGGGGTAGGACCCACTGAGCCAGACCACTTGGCTCCCTCGCTTCAGCACCTTTTTCCAGGGGGGTGAACAATTCTGTCTTGCTGGCATTCCATGTGCCACTGTGGTATGGAAAACAAAAACTCCTGCAGCTAGTTTGGTATCTGCCCAGACGGCTGCCCAGTTTTGTGCTTGAAACCCAGGGCCCTGGTGAGGTAGGCACTGGAGGGGGTCTCCTGGTCTGCAGGTTGCAAAGACCGCGGGAAAAGCACAGTATCTGGGCCAGAGTGCATGGTTCCTCAGGTTTAGTCCCTGAAGGCTTCCCTTGGGTAAAGGAGAAGATTCCCTGACCCCTTGTGCTTCCCAGGTGAGGTGACAACCCACCCTGCTTCGGCTCACCCTCTGCGGGCTGCACCCACTGTCTAACCAGTCTCAATGAGATTAACCGAGTACCTCAGTTGGAAATGCAGAAATCACCCACATTCTGTGTTGATCTCTCTGGGAGCTGCAGACTGGAGGTGTTCCCATTAGACCATCTTGCCAGCAATCCTGTTATATTGACTTTCTAAACCTCTTGTTTTCTTTTTGCCTTCTGTAACACCAATATTTGATCATTTTATGGTGTCCCATATGTCATGTAGATTTTGCTCATCTTTTTTATTCTTTTGTCTTTATTTTTGTCTGACTGGTTTATTTCAAAATACCTGTCTTCAAGTTCCAACATACTTTCTTTAGCTTGAGCTAGTCTATATTGAAGCTTTCAAATGTATTTTGTATTTCATGCCATGTATTCTTTAATTTCAGAATTTCTGTTTGTTTGTTGTTTTAATGATATTTATCTCTTTGGTAAATTTCTTATTCATATCCTGAATTTGTTTTTCATTTCTCTGTATTTATTTTTAGTATTCTCTTGTGTCTTACTAGACTTATTTAGTACCAACATTTTAAATTATTTTACTATAATTTTTAAAATTTATTTTTGATTGAGGTCTTCTGCTGGAGGATTGTTGTGTTCCTTTGGAAGTGTCATGTTTATTTGCTTTTTTAATGTTTCTCATGCCCTTACATTAATATTTTTTGCATCTGCTGTAATAGTAGCTTCTTCCAATTTTAAAAATGTACTTATTTGGGAGAGGACTTTTTCCTGAAGATGTATCTATGGGGTTGGAGTAGTGTAGTCTCTGTGTGATTTCTTCATTTGTAAACAGTGTCAGTAGTATCTTATTATTTCCTCAGTACCTTAGGGTGTGGTTGATAGTAGAAACTGTGGTGAAGTTTTGCTAAAAACTGGGACACTAAGTTGGCCTGCCTTTATGCCCCAGATAGTGGTGGACTAAGCATACCTGTCCTTAGGTCCCAGGGTAATATATGCTGACACTGTTTTTAGTAGGTTCAGGCATCCTGATCTTGGGTCTCAATGTTGCTTGTTTAGTTTCCTAGGATGGCAGTGGTGGGCCAGGCAAGTAAGTGGATTCATGAGCTTCTGGGCAGTGAGTGTGGCATTGGTGATGGCAGTAGTAGTGGTGGGAAAAGCTCCAGGATCCAAACTATCCACACTGGAATGGGTGCTGACTGTGATGGGCTAGCCAGTCTAGTCCCCAGGCCCACATGTGGCACATACAGGTGGATGCCAGCTGTAATGTTAGCAGCAGGTTGAGTGGGCATGACTTCAGACAACGGGAGGAGTACTCAGGCGCCAATAGTGGTAGACAGGGCTGGGTTATTTACAGGCTTCTTGATGACATGCTTGGGCTCTGCAGGGTTAATAGTGGGATGGACAATCACCCTGACAGGCCCCCTGGTGGTGCATGCATGTGCTGGGTGTGGTAGGCAGGAACAGGGTGATCCCCAGGCCACAGGCAAAATGCTCTTGTGAGGGTAGCAGCTGTGCCATGTCCCCGCTTCTGGGGGAGGACATGGTTGCTTTCTGTGGGAGCAGCCATAGGGAGTTGGCTGAGTGTCACACACTTCACTTGAACCTAAGCGCTGCAGCAGTACGCAAGTGGTTATAGGCAGGGAAATTTGTTCTCAGGGTGCATGAAAATGTATCACTTCTCCTCTGCTGGGGGTCAAGGTGGCATGAGGTCACTGCTAGTGGTTCCTGCCAAACCCTGACAGTGACAGATGTGGGTGAGAAATGTCAATGGGGCTCCAGGAATGTGGAGATGCAGAGGGTGTTGAGCAGCAGGGCTGGATGTAGTCTGATTGGGGCTAGGTTCCCAAAATGGTGCCATGCTTCATTTGCTTAGGACTCAGAGGTTTGTGGGACCCAGCATAAGCTCAGTCTCTGGAGCAATGCCTTTATGTAGTCTCCAGGCAGCATTTTATGCTAATTTCAGGGCCTATGAGGCTTGAGAGGCTCTCCCATGGCTAGGATTGCAGAAGTCTGTGGTGGGACTATGGACCACTGGGTGTGTCTTTCACTTATGTTTTCCTTGCAGTAGGGAGCCTCTCCAGACTCCCAGCTGATCCCAGCCAAAAAAAAGCTGCCTTGCTTCTCTCTTTTTCTTTGTTTTCAGTGCTTCTTATCACTACTCTATTAAATTCCAGTGATCTCTCTTAGATAATTTATCCAGTTTCTGTATTAGATATGTTTAAGACAAATTTGCATTAACATTTAAATCTTATTGGGGCTTAGTATTCTTTTTCATTCAATAAACATTTGTGAAGAACAACTATTTCCTGGAGATTTTGCTAGGCATTAGGAATATAAATAAAGATAAGATGCTTTTTCCCACTTTGTGGATTTCACAATATAGTAGAAGAAAGTATGAAATTATCGCAATACAATTAGATAATTATCACATCAGAAATATTTGTCAAGTCCTGTGTGAACTGAATGAAAATTTGTCTATATTTTACTTACAAAAATTCAAGGTCACTGAAGAGAAATATTACACATTAATATGTGTGAAATGTAAACCACAGATCTGGTTATCACAATTACTTAATTTAATGTTAATCTCACTTTCCATCAAGGAGCTCATGTCTTGAACAAAATAGAACCAAACCTAATGCTCATTAAGCAATCAAATTGAAATATAAATAAATTTATTTTCAACCGGTAGAATTTTGATATTTATGTTAGCCCAGATCCTTCAAGAAGTAGAATCCAGAATGTGATTAGATGTGCAAGAGGTTTATGCAAGAAATTAAAGAACATCTAAACAAATGAAAATATATTTATGTTTATTAACAAGGGGACTTAACATTGTTAAGATGTCAATACCACCAACAGCAATCTACATATTCAATAAAATTAATGTCAAAAGTCCAACAGTATTATTTGCAAAAATGAAAAAGTTGATGATCAAATTAATATGAAACTGCAAGTAGCCTCAAAGAGCCAAAAAAAAACTTGAATAAGAAGAATAGAATTAGAGGAGTCACACTTCCCAATGTCAAAACTTCCCAATGTCAAAACTTTCTCTCTCTCTCTCTCTCTCTGTCTCTCTAGAGGAACTGAATTAATAGGATATATGTATATATGAAAGGGAGTTTACTAAGGAGAGTTGACTCACATGATCACAAGGTAATGTCCCACGATAGATCATCTGCAACTTTAGGAGCAACAAAGCCAACAGTGAATTAGTTCAAGTCCCAAAACCTCAAAAGTAGGGAGCTGACAGTGCAGCCTTCAGTCTGTGGCCAAAGTCCTGAAAGCCCCTGGCAAACAACTGGTGTAAGTCTAAGAGTCGAAAAGTCAAAAAATTTGGAGTCTGTTATTATAGAGCAAGAAGTATCTATCACAGGAGAAAGATAAAGGCCAGAAGACTCAGCAAGTCTAATCTTTCCAATTTCTTCTACCTGCTTTACTCTAGCTGTGCTGGCAGCTGATTAAATGATGCCCACTCAGATTGAGGGTGGGTCTGCCTCTCCCAGTCCACTGATTCAAATGTTAATCTCCCTTGGGAACACCCTCACAGACAAACCTAGGAAAAATACTTGGCATATTTCAATCCAATCAAGTTGACATTCAATATTAACCATCAATATACTAATTAAAACAATATGGAAGTCTGGAGGGGAGAGGGATGTTAGAAAGATGGCAGAGTAAGAAGCCCTAGATCTTCCTTCTTCCCACAGAAACACCAATTCAACTATAATAGTCTGATCATTTCCTTTTATGAGACATTTAGAAACCAGGTAAGAGGCTCCTACACCCCCAAGCAAGCACAATACCAACCATATTGAAAATGGTAGGAAAATTTGTGGTAGTCTATCACCTCAGTCCCTCCCTAGCACAAGGACACACAACAGGGAGGAAACTTTTAGCTTCCAGCTTCTCACTAAAGAAGGAAAGAGAAGACTGGACCATGTTACTAACATTGTGACTTTTTGGGGAGGCTTCTGGAGTGACTGGCTTATATTTAACCTGTCTTGGAGCACTGACAGCATACTCTAGATTCCTGGAGACCAGTGCAGTCAAAAGATCCAGGCAGCATCCTGCTGTCTTAGAGGGCCCATTGAGCTTGTTTGGCCTCTTTCTCAGGGGGCAAAAGAAGACTGGGGGGGAGGAGCCAAGATGGCCAAATAGGAACAGCTCCGGTCTACAGCTCCCAGCGTGAGCAACGCAGAAGACGGGTGATTTCTGCATTTCCATCTGAGGTACCAGTTTCATCTCACTAGGGAGTGCCAGACAGTGGGTGCAGGACAGTGGGTGCAGCGCGCTGTGTGCGAGCCAAAGCAGGGCGAGGCATTGCCTCACTCAGGAAGCAGAAGGGGTCAGGGAGTTCCCTTTCCTGGTCAAGGAAAGGGGTGACAGACGGCACCTGGAAAATTGGGTCACTCCCACCCGAATACTGCACTTTTCCGATGGGCTTAGGAAACAGCTCACCAGGAGATTATATCCTGCACCTGGCTCGGAGGGTCCTATGCCCACGGAGTCTCCCTGATTGCTAGCACAGCAGTCTGAGATCAAACTGCAAGGTGGCAGTGAGGCTGGGGGAGGGGCGCCCACAATTGCCCAGGCTTGCTTAGGTAAACAAAGCAGCCTGGAAGCTCCAACTGGGTGGAGCCCACCACAGCTCAAGGAGGCCTGCCTGGCTCTGTAGGCTCCACCTCTGGGGGCAGGGCACAGACAAACAAAAAGACAGCAGTAACCTCTGCAGACTTAAATGTCCCTGCCTGACAGCTTTGAAGAGAGCAGTGGTTCTCCCAGCACGCAGCTGGAGATCTGAGAATGGGCAGACTGCCTCCTCAAGTGGGTCCCTGACCCCTGACCCCCAAGCAGCCTAACTGGGAGGCACCCCCCCAGTAGGGGCAGACTGACACCTCACACGGCCGGGTACTCCTCTGAGACAAAACTTCCAGAGGAACAATCAGACAGCAGCATTAGCGGTTCAGGAAAATTTGCGGTTCTGTAGACATCGCTGCTGATAACCAGGCAAACAGGTTCTGGAGTGGACCTCTAGCAAACTCCAACAGACCTGCAGCTGGGGGTCCTTTCTGTTAAAAGGAAAACTAACAAACAGAAAGGACATCCACACCAAAAACCCATCTGTACATCACCATCATCAAAGACCAAAAGTAGATAAAACCACAAAGATGGGGAGAAAACAGAGCAGAAAAACCGGAAACTCTAAAAAGCAGAGCACCACTCCTCCTCCAAAGGAACGCAGTTCCTCACCAGCAATGGTACAAAGCTGGACGGAGAATGACTTGGATGAGCTGAGAGAAGAAGGCTTCAAATGATCAAACTATTCCGAGCTACAGGAGGAAATTCAAACCAAAGGCAAAGAAGTTGAAAACTTTGAAAAAAATTTAGAAGAATGTATGACTAGAATAAACAATACAGAGAAGTGCTTAAAGGAGCTGATGGAGTTGAAAGCCAAGGTTCGAGAACTACGTGAAGAATGCAGAAGCCTCAGGAGCCTATGTGATCAACTGGAAGAAAGGGTAACAGCGATGGAAGATGAAATGAATGAAAAGAAGTGAGAAGGGAAGGTTAGAGAAAAAAGAATGAAAAGAAAAGAGCAAAGCCTCCAAGAAATATGGGACTATATGAAAAGACCAAATCTGCATCTGATTGGTGTACCTGAAAGTGATGGGGAGAATGGAACCAAGTTGGAAAACACTCTGCAGGATATTATCCAGGAGAACTTCCCCAATCTAGCAAGGCAGGCCAACATTCAGATTCAGGAAATACAGAGAATGCCACAAAGATACTCCTCGAGAAGAGCAACTCCAAGACACATAATTGTCAGATTCATCAAAGTTGAAATGAAGGAAAAAATGGTAAGGTCAGCCAGAGAGAAAGGTCGGGTTACCCACGAAGGGAAGCTCCTCAGACTAACAGCGGATCTCTCGGCTGAAACTCTACAAGCCAGAAGAGAGTGGGGGCCAATATTCAACATTCTTACAGCAAAGAATTTTCAACCAGAATTTCATATCCAGCCAAACTAAGCTTCATAAGTGAAGGAGAAATAAAATATTTTACAGACAAGCAAATGCTGAGAGATTTTGTCACCACCAGGCCTGCCCTAAAAGAGCTCCTGAAGGAAGCACTAAACATGGAAAAGCACAACCGGTACCAGCTGCTGCAAAATCATGCCAAAATGTAAAGACCATCGAGACTAGGAAGAAACTGCATTAACTAATGAGCAAAATGACTAGCTAACATCAAAATGACAGGATCAAAGTCACACATAGCAATATTAACTTTAAATGTAAATGGACTAAATGCTCCAATTAAAAGACACAGACTGGCAAATTGGATAAAGAGTCAAGACCCATCAGTGTGCTGTATTCAGGAAACCCATCTCATGTGCAGAGACACAAAAAGGCTCAAAATAAAAGGATGGAGGAAGATCTACCAAGCAAATGGAAAACAAAAAAAGGCAGGGGTTGCAATCCTAGTCTCTGATAAAACAGACTTTAAACCAAAAAAGATCAAAAGAGACAAAGAAGGCCATTACATAATGGTAAAGGGATCAATTCAACAAGAAGAGCTAACTATCCTAAATATATATGCACCCAATACAGGAGTACCCAGATTCATAAAGCAAGTCCTGAGTGACCTACAAAGAGACTTAGACTCCCACACAATAACAATGGGAGACTTTAACACCCCACTGTCAACATTAGACAGATAAATGAGACAGAAAGTTAACAAGGATACCCAGGAATTGAACTCAGCTCTGCACCAAGCGGACCTAATAGACATCTACAAAACTCTCCACCCCAAATCAACAGAATATACATTTTTTTCAGCACCACACCGCACCTATTTCAAAATTGACCATATATTTGGAAATAAAGATCTCCTCAGCAAATGTAAAAGAACAGAAATTATAACAAACTGTCTCTCAGACCACAGTGCAATCAAACTAGAACTCAGGATTAAGAAACTCACTCAAAACTGCTCAACTACATGGAAACTGAACAACTGCTCCTGAATGACTACTGGGTACACAACAAAATGAAGGCAGAAATAAAGATGTTCTTTGAAACCAATGAGAACAAAGACACAACATACCAGAATCTCTGGGACACATTCAAAGCAGTGTTTAGAGGGAAATTTATAGCACTAAATGCCCACAAGAGAAAGCAGGAAAGAACAAAAATTGACACCCTAGTATCACAATTAAAAGAACTAGAAAAGCAAGAGCAAACACATTTAAAAAGCTAGCAGAAGGCAATAAATAACTAAAATCAGAGCAGAACTGAAGGAAATAGAGACACAAAAAAACTTCAAAAAATTAATGAATCTAGGAGCTGGTTTCTTGAAAGGATCAACAAAATTGACAGACCGCTAGCAAGACTAATAAAGAAAAAAAGAGAGAAGAATCAAATAGATGCAATAAAAAATGATAAAGGGGATATCACCACTGATCCCATAGAAATACAAACTACCATCAGAGAATACTACAAACACCTCTACGCAAATAAACTAGAAAATCTAGAAGAAATGGATAAATTCCTTGACACATACACTCTCCCAAGACTAAACCAGGAAGAAGTTGAATCTCTGAATAGACCAATAACAGGATCTGAAATTGTGGCAATAATCAATAGCTTACCAAACAGAAAGAGTCCAGGACCAGATGGATTCACAGCCGAATTCTACCAGAGGTACAAGGAGGAACTGGTACCATTCCTTCTGAAACTATTCCAATCAATAGAAAAAGAGGGAATCCTCCCTAACTCGTTTTATGAGGCCAGCATCATCCTGATACCAAAGCCGGGCAGAGACACAACCAAAAAAGTGAATTTTAGACCAATATCCTTGATGAACATTGATGCAAAAATCCTCAATAAAATACTGGCAAACCGAATCCAGTAGCACATCAAAAAGCTTATCCACCATGATCAAGTGGACTTCATCCCTGGGATGCAAGGCTGGTTCACTATACGCAAATCAATAAATGTAATCCAGCATATAAACAGAGCCAAAGACAAAAACCAGATGATTACCTCAATAGATGCAGAAAAGGCCTTTGACAAAATTCAACAACGCTTCATGCTAAAAACTCTCAATAAATTAGATACTGATAGGATGTATCTCAAAATAATAAAAGCTATCTATGACAAACCCACAGCCAACATCATACTGAATGGGCAAAAACTGGAAGCATTCCCTTTGAAAACTGGCACAAGACAGGGATGCCCTCTCTCACCACTCCTATTCAACATAGTGTTGGAAGTTCTGGCCAGGGCAATTAGGCAGGAGAAGGAAATAAAGTGTATTCAATTAGGAAGAGAGGAAGTCAAATTGTCCCTGTTTGCAGATGACATGATTGTATATCTAGAAAACCCCATCGTCTCAGCCCAAAATCTCCTTAAGCTGATAAGGACCTTCAGCAAAGTCTCAGGATACAAAATCAATGTACCAAAATCACAAGCATTCTTATACACCAATAACAGACAGAGAGCCAAATCATGAGTGGACTCCCATTCACAATTGCTTCAAAGAGAATAAAATACCTAGGAATCCAACTTACAAGGGATGTGAAGGACCTCTTCAAGGAGAACTACAAAAGAACTACAAACCACTGCTCAATGAAATAAAAGAGGATACAAACAAATGGAAGAACTTTCCATGCTCATGGGTAGGAAGAATCAATATCATGAAAATGGCCATACTGCCCAAGGTAATTTATAGATTCAATGCCATCCCCATCAAGCTACCAATGACTTTCTTCACAGAATTGGAAAAAACTACTTTAAAGTTCATATGGAACCAAAAAAGAGCCCACATCACCAAGTCAATCCTAAGCCAAAAGAACAAAGCTGGAGGCATCACCCTACCTGACTTCAAACTATACTACAAGGCTACAGTAACCAAAACAGCATGGTACTGGTACGAAAACAGAGATATAGACCAATGGAACAGAACAGAGCCCTCAGAAATAATGCCGCATATCTACGACTATCTGATCTTTGACAAACCTGAGAAAAACAAGCAATGGGGAAAGGATTCCCTATTTAGGTAATGGTGCTGGGAAAACTGGCTAGCCATATGTAGAAAGCTGAAACTGGATCCCTTCCTTACACCTTACACAAAAATTAATTCAAGATGGATTAAAGACTTAAACGTTAAACCTAAAACCATAAAAACACTAGAAGAAAACTTAGGCATTACCATTCAGGACATAGGCATGGGCAAGGACTTCATGTCTAAAACACCAAAAGCAATGGCAACAAAAGCCAAAATTGACAAATGGGATCTAATTAAACTAAACAGCTTCTACACTGCAAAAGAAACTACCATCAGAGTGAACAGGCAACCTACAAAATGGGAGAAAATTTTCACAACCTACTCATCTGACAAAGGGCTAATATCCAGAATCTACGATGAACTCAAACAAATTTACAAGAAAAAAACAAACAACCCCATCAAAAAGTGAGCAAAGGATATGAACAGACACTTCTCAAAAGAAGACATTTATGCAGCCAAAAGACACATGAAAAAATGCTCATCATCACTGGCCATCAGAGAAATGCATATCAAAACCACAATGAGATACCATCTCACACCAGTTAGAATGGCAATCATTAAAAAGTCAGGAAACAACAGGTGCTGGAGAGGATGTGAAGAAACAGGAACACTTTTACACTGTTGGTGGGACTCTAAACTAGTTCAACCATTGTGGAAGTCAGTGTGGCGATTCCTCAGGGATCTAGAACTAGAAATACCATTTGACCCAGCCATCCCATTACTGGGTATATACCCAAAGGACTATCAATCATGCTGCTATAAAGACACATGCACACATATGTTTATTGTGGCACTATTCACAATAGCAAAGACTTGGAACCAACCCAAATGTCCAACAATGATAGACTGGATTAAGAAAATGTGGCACATATACACCATGGAATGCTATGCAGCCATAAAAAATGATGAGTTCATGTCCTTTGTAGGGACATGGATGAAATTGGAAATCATCATTCTCAGTAAACTATCTCAAGGAAAAAAAACAAACACCGCATGTTCTCACTCATAGATGGGAACTGAAAAATGAGAATACATGGACACAGGAAGGGGAACATCACACTCTGGGGACTGTTGTGGGGTGGGGGAAGGGGGGAGGGATAGCTTTAGGAGATATACCTAATGCTAAATGATGAGTTAATGGGTGCAGCACACCAGCATGGCACATGTATACATATGTAACTAACCTGCACATTGTACACATGTACCCTAAAACTTAAAGTATAATAATAATTTAAAAAGAAAAAAAAATCAAAGAAAATCTTAAAAAAACCAAAAAACAAAACAAAAAAAAACCAGAAAAGAAAAAAAAGAAGACTGAAGCATGCACATCTAATGCTCCAGGCTTTTGAGGGACTGTCTAAGGGGTTGTTTTCTGTCTAGTCTAACTTGGGGTGTTGATGTGTGTATTTGTGTGTGTATGCATATCTATGCAAAATCCCACCATACTTAGTGTTTTTTTAAATCTAGAAAGCACTCAACCAATTAGCAAAGGAGCTAGTAACAATGTTGATTCAAAGCAAATATTAAGAAAGCTATCATTTTTTTATAGGATTCTCAGCACATTTAATCAGTCATAATTTTAAGTATAATTCATGGATATTTAGATTAGACTCACCTTAGACATGGAAAGGCCATGGGTGTCTGCTTGTTTTGTACTGCTTCAAAGCAAGAGAAAAACAGAATTAGCCCAATTGTAAGAAGTATCTTGGCCAATTAAAACAGAATAATCAGAATGAATTATTTGTGAAGCTATTTAACAAATAATAAAACACCTCCTTTACTTACTTTATTCATTCATTTAACAAATTTTGTTGAACCCTTTCTGTACAAACACACAAAATAAACCCTTACTCTCATTTAGCTTATATTCTAATACAGAAAATTTTATTCATAAAGGTGTAAATAATGGCACAAAGTAGCATATAATTTATAGAGTAGTTGTTTAGGCAATATGCAATATAGAAATTACAATAAAAAGTAGTTTTATTTGGAAATAGGGAATACTTCGTGAAAGATTTATAAACTAACTTAATCTGGGCCCTAAAGAAAGGAGTATTGAGTCATTTTTCTGGCTACAGTTTTAGTTAATAAACCATTGAATTAAAAAAAATGGTTTCACTGTGCTTTCCAAGATTGTCTCCAGATAAAGCACACTGAAAGGATATACAGACAATCCCTGACTGAGGATGGTTCAACTTATTTTTTTTTACTTGATGATGATGAAAATTCAATAGACATTCAGTAGAAACCATAATTCAGCAATTTTTTCTTAACTTTCAGTACAGCATTTGATAAATTACATGAGTTACTCAACACTTTATTTTAAAATAGCTTTGTGTTGGATGATTTTGCTCTACTATAGACTAATGTAAATGTTCTGAGCATGTTTAAGGTAGGCAAAGCTAAGCTATGATGTTCACTAGATTAGGTGTGTTAAATGCAAGTTTGACTTACAGTATTTTCAACTTATGATGTATTTATCAAAATGTAACCCCATTATAAGTTGAGGAGTATCTGAAATTTGAGTGCTCGCTAAGTAAAAGCGTGTCATTTTTCTTATAATTTTTGCTATACTGTGAGCTCCTCATAGGTAAGAGTCCCCTCTAATTCATGTTTGCATCCTCCTTCCATTCCAACTAGCACATAATAGGCACTCTGATGTAAAGCTAAGATACTATGATCAAAAAAATTAAATCATTGAATCATTTCCTATGTTCTTTCTTTTCTATAGAATGGCCTAACTTGGAATCTAGATCAGTTTTCCCCTTTAGTTTAATGTAATGAATATAGACAAAATGTTTAAATAATTTCATAACTTTGAACATACTTTGAACTTTCTGTTAAAGAATCTTCACATTTTATTCTGTGGCACTAATCAGGCATCAGGAAAATAAAGACGTGGCATTATATATACATATGTGTGTGTGTGTGCGCACACGTGTGTGTATCAACAACACAACTATAACCCTACATCCTCTTTTGAGGAGGATAGTAAACTCTAACTTAAGATTGGGAACATCACACACCAGGGCCTTTTGTGGGGTAGGGGGAGGTGGGAGGGATAACATTAGGAGATATACCTAATGTAAATGACGAGTTAATGGGTGCAGCACACCAACATGGCACATGTATACATATGTAACAAACCTGCACGTTGTGCACATGTATCCTATAACTTAAAGTAAAATTATATATATATACATATATATATACATACACACACACACATATATATATATAAAAGATTTACTCTTTGTCTAACTATGTGGCATGCCCTGTAGCCACTATTTAACAATTCTCAATTTAATCAAACTTTAAGTTTCATCATCTAGGAAATTTCAGAATGTGTTCTGTAATGGTTTTGATTTGGTAGTTGAAAAAACAAAAATCATCCTCATTACCATTACCACAGACTCGTGAAATCATAGCATCAGAATGGGCTACAAGAAGTTATCTAGGTTTCTAGGCAGCTCTGTGCCTCCTACTTTTGGCTTGTTGCAGAATCAATCAACACTTACCCGTGTTTTTTTTTTGTAATGGATGTCTAGAAGTCCTGGTACTTGAGCTACTCAAAAGTCACTAACAGTTTGTAAAAATTTTTTACTAAAGCAAAATTTTCTAGTAGGGAGCATTATCAAAATATACCCTTAAGATAGGTGAAAATCACAAGTGCTCTCAGTGTTACCCTGTAACATGGTAGGAGAGATCACTAAAGTGAGCTGTGTTGTGATAAATAGACTGTATTGCCTTTCTTGGCTTCTGACCTTGATTGTTACAAAGTTTCTTCTATAACTCAAAAACAAAACTAAATCCCAAGCTGACCAATATTGGTTTTTAACCCTGTGTTACAAATACATATAGATTCTCTGGTATGGTGGCAAAAAATAACCTGCATGAAGGAAACCATTACCTACTTGAAGAATTTGAAGAATTAAGCCACCCTGTGAATTGTTTCCACCAAGTATACAGTTTCATTTGGACATGTGAGTAGAGTGATAAAACAGAATTCTTTACAAGAGGGTACAGGTTCATCTGATTTGAGCTACGGAGGGAGTTAAACGTTGTATCATGGTTACACCTTACTCTACCAGTGCAGTGCAGAAACAGTGAGAGTGGGCATTGATGCATAACAAAATTGGGTTTAATTTTAGCCAGTTACCAGTTGGGGGACTAAGGTCTTAATTATCTAGATTCGTGACTGGTAAATAATAATAATGCCTATCTATAATGGATACTGAGTGCACAGTAGATGACACATAATAGGCGCTGTGTAAAGAAGGGTGCTACTCATTTTATGTTCATCATCATCACAGCAGGCAGTAAAATTGTGATACCAATCGTTATTTTTATTTTTGTGTAAGTGGTAATTTCAAAAGTGGCTGTGATTCCTTTTTCTAGATTTTTCTCCTTATTACTCTCTAGGTGTAATCACATATCTAATAAAACCATATTGGTTAACCATAAAAACATTGATTTAAAAGCCCTTTAATATTGGAAGAAATAAAAATAGCAAAGGCATACAACCTTCCAAGCTAAAATTCTGAGTTATAAATTCAAGTGATTCAAATTGATACAAACAAAATAAAACTTTCTAAATTGCTAAAAGTGGGGAAGATTTGAACATTAGCCTCAATTTTGGAAATCAAACAACTGGAAGCCTTGCAATAGGTGGTTTGACTTTTATAAGATCAACTGGATGCTTTTAGAATAAAAGTTTTTTTTATTTACTTTATTTGATAACCCAAATAAATGTTCATGAAATAGATGTGTTCTATATAGCAGTAGGTCATAGAGACATTGATCAGAGTGCAGGAAATAGGAAAAGATAGAGCATCGAACTGCGTATTTATATATCCAAGGTAAATGAGAACATGATTATAAGTAATATCATTTTAGGATTTACAATTCTTTTAGATTTAATATTGGATGACTAACTGTATTTTATTTTTGACAGATAATAAGTCAATTACATCTCTTTTATTATCCTGGGAGGCCTCTGACTTTGGGATATAAAAAAAATAGAGGAAGTATTTTTTTAAAATAACCCTGGTAAGTAGATACAAACCCTCTAACAATTTAGCTTCTCATATTTTCTATTTCCTGTCTGAGACAGAGAGAAGCAACTGTGCTGCATTATCAAAAAATTAAATGAAAAATTAAAACATCAGAGAGTGTAAATGTCTGCTTCCAGTGACACAACGCTTAGTCAATATCATTTGGCTTTGCTTAGGGAGCTTATGTTTTCCTGCACATTGTAATCATCTCCGCATTAAATTACATTTGAAATAGAAAGAGAACATATGAAGAAAATGCTTAAGAAAATGAGCTATGCATCTTGACATCTCTTTCTCAAGTTCTATTCAATTTGATCATTCATAAAATATAAGCTATGCATTTTTATTCTTTGTCAACACCCACTCTCCACCTCCGCCCCTACATCCACATCCAATTAATATTTTACTGTAATTTATAAAGAAAAAGCAGTGTTATGATTGATGAGAGTAAAAAGATTTTTAGTTACACTTAACACATAAATGCAAAAAGTTTAAATGAATGATTACTAAAATAAATGTATAATTTCCACAGGGAAATACATTAAAAAAAAAGTAGAGTTGTCAAGGTAAAACTTGAGTAAGAATTTTTAAACCAAAGGGGTACCTGAACAACATTCAGAAATATTGAAACAAAAGTTTCAATCTCCATCTGAATTTTGATTACTAGTGGAACAACCAACTAATTCCCAAAAAGAGAAGAAGAATTGCTGAGGATTTGGAAGTGGATTGGATCTCTCTCATCTAGCTATGTGTGTTACATCTCCTATTCCACAAGGTTTTCATACAAAGGAGTTGGAGAAATATTTTATTACTTTGCACCCAGAGTCAAGCTTTCTTGTATGAGTAAGAACCAGCTTCATCCAAATAGTGAACATGATTTCCAATGTGATGTTCACTACTCTTTAGTAAAATGTACCCACATACATAAGCACCTCCCTTGAATTCCTGTTGAATCACTAAATCCTGAGATCAAGAAGTAAAAATTTCTTTTTTTTCTCTTAGTTTAGGAAGTTTTTCTGGGCAACTACCCGGCCCTACAGATGACTACTGATTAACCAATGCTACTTATAAAATAAAAAATTAAGAGGCATTATAATTATTCATCTGTATGTTCAAAGAGAGGAAATGAAGTCTGTTTAATTTTACTCCAGCTGAACAAGAAGCTTTATTATGGCATTTCCTCCCTCCTTCTACTTTTCCCTACCTTCCTCCCTCCATTCCTTCCTTCTTTCTTTTCCTCCCTCCCCCCTTATTTTCATACCTATTTGAGTGCCTCCTTCATATCAGGCACTGTGACAGGAGAAGAAAAAACAAACAATGTAGGGCCAAAATAGGTAAAGTTCATTTCATGTGGCTGACCATCTTCTTAGGAGAAATGACATTAATCAAATTACCAATTAATTATTAATCATTACTAATAAATATTTAATTAGAACTGTAAAAACTGCAATGAAGTGGAGGAAAATGGTACTATGGCAACATAAAATAGAGATTTTACCTAGTCAAAAGCCAAAGGGAAGTTTTCACAATGGACTCTCACTTAAGAGCTAAAGGAGTAGTATGAGATAACTGAGTAAACAGGGAAAAACTATTGCAGTGGAATGCAAAATCAGTGAAAGAGAGAGCCTTACTAGAAGACCAAGGTAAAACAAACTGCTAAATATGATACCTAACTTATTGGAGAATATCTGGTAGAATATATACAGAGGGAGAAATATATTAAAGTCAAAACTGAATAGAAAACAGATGTGAAACACAATGATTTAAAAATCAATTTAAAAAATCAATCTTAGCAATTATTTGTGCAATAATTTAACATTTGGATTTCATTGCTTTTGAATCATTTTGGTGATTATGCATGATTATTCAATAAGTACTGTCTAGACAGTGTGAACCATTTGCTTAATATTAAAAGTTAAATAGATATTCCTCACTTATCGACTAAATGTTTCATTTCCATACACACACATTCACACACACACACAAACACACACACACAGATGTAAATATGTCAATATAGGAGATAAACAGTAGATTTTAATATTTCCCCATGGTACTATTTGTTAATTAATTATCTATCCAACATTCTTTGCTCTTATACTATTTCTACTGAAACTTTGGATAAGTAAACAAAACGTGTATTGTTAGCTTAAACTTTTCATGGTTGGCATGAAAAAATGCAGTTGTTTATAGGTTTTGAATAAAAAGTTAATTAATTGGAGTTAAAATATTTGATAGACTTCAAATGTACAATTCCCTGTACAATTCAAAAACTTAAATAAAAATTTATAATTTGATTTTTAATCTCACTCTCCAACTCTCCTATTGAGAGTTTGGAAAAGCATGTGCTACAAAAGCTAGAAAAGCCTCTGAGGACACTACCAATACTCCCTCTACAGGCCGATATGAAAAAGGACTGGAGAGTGGGATAGTCATCAGTATGCACTACACTCTAGCTGGTTCTTTTCTTTGCATCCTCCTGGGCTTGGTAGTCATAACTCAAAGTTTTCATGTTATACAGCAACCTGAATATGAAAGAAATGTTCTTCTAAAGGTTTATAAGAATATTAACAATGACTAAAATCAGTCACACATATCCACAAAAATTTCTTTATACTGGTATGTCATAATGCTCAAGTCCATTTTTAGATTTGATTTATAAACACAGAAGTATATATTACATCTATTTCATTGATTTATTCCTTTTGAAAACTCCATGTTAAGATTGTAGGTGGTTTCATATGGAAGCCCCACTGGATGGGTGTTAATCCCACTTTGATCTCGGATTTCTCATACTATAATGGAAATGGTATGTTAATCAAAGAAAACCAAAGTAATCTTTTAATCCTGAGCATAATAACTAAAAGTATCCTTCTCCTTGAAACACTGTTGTATTAGTCTGTTCTCACACTGCTGATAAAGACATACCCGAGACTGGGCAACTTTCAAAAGGAAGAGGTTTAATAGACTTACAGTTCCACGTGGCTGTGGAGGCCTCACAATCATGGTGAAAGACAAGGAGGAACAAGTCATGTCTTACATGGATGGCAGCAGGCAAAGAGGAAAGCTTATGCAGGGAACCTCCCTTTTTTTGAAACCATCAGATCTCATGAGACTTATTCTCTATCACAAGAACAGCACAGGAAAAATCCACTCCCATGATTCAACTACCTCCCACTGGGTTCCTCACTTTACACGTGGGAACTGTGGAAGTTACAATTCAAGATGAGATTTGGGACACAGCCAAACCATATCATTGTTCACTGAAATATCATTATACAGCATATGACTGCATATAGATCCTTTTTTGAAGTGTACATTGGATAACAGATTAGGAAAACAATACTAGCATATCAAAAAAAATACCCGCAGTTTAAATTCAAAAAGCTATTTAAACACACATGGCAATATAGATATACTTTGTTTTGGAATGTTTAGTGATTCAGACAAAAGGAACATGTTCTTACCTAAACTCTCAAGTTAGAGAGATCTAGAGAACTAAAAGGTAAATTCTAGAAGTATTTAATACTTCTAGCAGTTTTTATTTTATTGTACCAAATTTAAAAATATGTCTTTTTTTTTTCTTTGTTAGATGTCAAGCTCCTTGAGCACAAGGACCATACTATATTAGCCTTTGAACTTAGAGGTTCTTGGCAGTAAATTAGTTAATATCAAATTTTAACTCCACAACTTACCCCTACCTCATAAAGGATGATTGGTGCATTACTCTTTACTTTTAAAATTGTGTTTATTTTTAATTTTTGTCAGCACAAAGTAGGTAAATATATGTATAGGGTATATGAGATACTTTGATACAGGCATGCAATGCATAATAATCACCTCACAGTAAATGGGATCTTCATCCCTCGAGCATTTATCCTTTATAGTATAAACAATGTAATTATACATTTTTACTAATTTTTAAATGTAAAAATAAATTATTACTGACTGTAGTCCTCTTGTTGTGATATCAAATAGTAGGTCTTATTCACTCTTTCTAACTACTGTTTGCACCCATTAACCATTCCCTCTTTACCCCCACTCACCCACAACCATTCCCAATCTCTGGTAACCATTCATCTACTCTCTATCTTCATGAGTTCAAATGTTTTAAGTTTTAGCTCCCACAAATAAGTGAGAACATGCAAAGTTTGTCTTTCTGTGTCTGGCTTACTTCACTTAACAAAATGACCTCAAGTTTCATCTATGTTTTTGCAAATGACAGGATATCATTTTTAATGGTTGAATAGTACTCCATTGTGTGGTGCCTGAGAGAGTTCCATAATAGAATAAAAATGGTTTACATAGAATCTTGCTACCTGGGAATATAAGGAGGAGTTACTGATAAGCAGGGGGCCTCTTTCCTAGGACTAATTCTAATTCTGTGAGGAGCTGCTAGTTTCTAAAATGTCTGATAGCTCTCACGTACTGCTTGGCTTGTGAATGCCATTTCCAACGTAAACAAACATCTTGTTTAAAAGCCACTGCTCTATTTAAAGAAGTGTCAGGAAAATCTTTACTTTTAAGTTATTTGGGTAAAGTATTTTTTTTTGTAACGAATTGCTTTTCTCTCTGAGTTCTCCAAATTTCAGATCGTGACTTTAGGACAATATAGGTATTTGCATAAGTTCAATAAGAGTCTTTTAAAACAGAACAATTGAAAACACTGGTTATTTTACCAAGGCTTTAACTAAAACAGCATATTTTTAGGTAAAGTTCCATCACAGCCAACTTAAAACGAGCCTATATGGCCAATCAATTCTTGTGCATTTTATGCAAATAATCAGGCCAAGCATAATAAGCCTATAACATAGAAATGGGTCTTAATATAATTTCTCTTTAGTAGAAAAGAAAGGGGCTAAAGAAATTGTTTCATAAGGAAAAGTGTAACAGTTGATACAAGATTTCGACACTAACTTTGTTTCTTTATGTGCAGATTATATCATGAATTATTTCTTGGCTACAATAATCCTTTAGAGTGTACCAGATTATAATTTGTCTTCATATTTTTAGTTGGCACCCTTTTGAAAGAGGTTCCTTTGTCTATTCTAACACAAAAGTTAGTCTTATAATTGTCGAAGTATAAATGTTATTCATCTCTGTTTTACTTCCAAGGAAATCAAAATCACGGTATTCTGAAGACCAGATTTGATTCTCCCTCATTTGCCATCCCACTGGACACAGATCTGTTTCCCTGTGAATGTTCTGCTGCTAAAACTATACACACAGCCTCTCTCTAGGCCCAGGGACTGTCGTAGAAGAGGCAGGCACATGAGATTGTAAGGGCTGGTTTTGAGGTATAAAATTAGGTCATGGTCAAACCCTCCAAATCAAGAAGGGGTACAAAGATGCCTAAGCTGCCTGTAAAACAAATTTAGTTGCCTTTTAAACTATTATGTGTCACTTTTGCATCCACTCCAACCATAAAGAATTTTCTGCTTAGTATAGAATTAAAGGAAAATATTTACTAACAGGATAAAATACCTTGTAACAAAACCCACTGGGTATAAAACTCCTAGTTATAAGTTGTAAAGATAAATCTATCTATCTACATATTAGTTATTTTTCAGAACAATGCTTATGTTTTGTATAGCAAATTGCTTTAAGTCTGTAACTAAAACAAAGTTTACACATAGCTCAACACATAGAAGTTAAAAATAAGTCAGTCTGGTAACGTTGCCTTTCGGTTTTGTTTGCTGAGATTTTTTCTTAAAATAATTTTAGGAGGTAATGAATGCCTGTCCACAACCTTTTATATCTGGCCTAGAACAATTAATTGATTATAAGTCTTTGACTCTTAAGGCCCTCAGCCATAGGGAGTCCTACCAAGGGACAGGATGGATGCAGGGCAGGCAGCCACGCCACCCAGGCAACACTATGGAACAAAATAAAGATTTGTTGGCCTTTGATGTTTCTCTGGCAAATCTTGGCCAGAAGAGGGAAAATGTAAACCAAAAATAAAATTTTAAGGCCTCCCCAAACATTTGAATAAACTTCCTCCTGGGCCGGGGCTCTTAAATTTTAACCTGAAAGACTGTTTCAGGCCATGAAGGGAAGTGGGGGTCAGACATGCCTCATTATACCTCTCTGCCATTAACATCAACAGCTCTGATAAAAAACCTTTTACTAGCTATTCTTTCTGAAGCCTGCTACCTGGAGGCTTCACTTGCATGATAAAACTTTGGACTTCACAACCTCTTATTACAACACTGGCATTCCTCTCTATTTATCCCAGGTCTTTAGACAAACTCAACCAATTATCAACCAGAAAATATTTAAATTTACCTATAGCCTAGAGGCCCCCACTTCGAATTGTCCCACCTTTCTGGAGCAAACAAATGTATTTCTCAAATATATTCGATTGATGTCTCATGCCTCCCTAAAATGTATAAAATCAAGTTGCACCCCAGTGAGCTTGGGTACATGTTCTCAGGACCTCCTGAGGGCTGTCTCATGGGTCATGGTTACTTACATTTGGCTCAGAATAAATGTCTTCAAATATTAAAAAAAATAGTACTCCATTGTGTGTATGTACTGCATTTTCTTTATACATTCAGCTGTCGATGGGCTCATCAGTTGTTTCCAAATCTTAGCTATTGTGAACAGTGCTGCAACAAACATGGGAGTGCAGATATCCTTTTGATATACTGATTTCCCTTTTTTGGGGTATACACCCAGCAGTGAGATTCCCAGATCATACAGTAGTTGTGTTTTTTAGTTTATTGAGGAACCTCCAAACTGTTCTCCATGTAGTTAGTACTAATTTACATGCCTAACAATAATGTCTGAGAGTTCCCTTTTCTCCACATACTCGCCAGCACTTGTTAATGCCTATTAGATAAAAGCTATTTTAACTGGGGTGAGATGATACCTCATTGTAGTTTTGATTTGCATTTCTCTGATGATCAATGATGTTGAGCACCTTTTCTTATGCCTGTTTGCCACTTGTATGTCTTCTTCTGACAAATGTCTATTCCAATCTTTTGCCCATTTTTAATTGAATTGTTAGATTTTTGTTCCATATAATTGTTTGAGATCCTTATATATTCTGGTTATTAATTCCTTGACAGATGGTGATATGATGTGGCTCTGCATCCCCACCCAAATCTCATCTTGAATTGTAATCCTCAAGTGTTAAGGGAGGGACCTGGTAGGAGCTGATTGGATCATGGGGGTGGTTTACCCCATGCCGTTCTCGTGATAGTGAGGGAGTTCTCACAAGATCTTATGGTTTAAAAGTGTCAGTTTCCCCTGCACTCTCTCTCCTGCCACCATGTGAGACATGCCTTACTTCCTCTTTGCCTTCCATCATGATTATAAGTTTCCTGAGGCCTCTCCAGACACGCTGAACTGTAAGTCAATTAAACCTCTTTTGTTTATGAATTACCCAGTCTCAGGTAGTATCTTTATAGCAGTGTGAAAACAGACTAATACAGATGAGTAGTTTGGAAATATTTTCTCCTATTCAATAGGCTGCCTCTTCACTTTGTTGATTGATTCCTTTGCTGTACAGAAGCTTTTTAAATTGAAGTGATCCCATTTATCCATTTTTGCTTGATTGTCTCTGCCTCTGGGGTATTACTCAAGAAATTTTTGCCCAGACTAATGTCCTAGAGAGGTTTAACAATTTTTTAATAGCAATTTTATAGTTTTACATCTTAGATTTAAATCATTAATATATATTTATTTGATTTTTGTATGTGGTGAGAAAGAGGCTCTACTCTTGTGTGTGTGTGTGTGTGTGTGTGTGTGTGTGTGCACATAAGAATATCCAGTTTTCCCCATAACTTTTATCAAAGAGACTATCTTTCCCTCAGTGTATGTTCTTGGTACCTTTGTGGAAAGTGAGTTCACTATAGATATGTGGATTTGTTTCTGTGTTATTTATTCTCTTCTATTGGTCAATAATATGGTTTGGCTGTGTCCCCACCCGAATCTCATCTTGAATTGTACTCCCATAATTCCCACATATCGTGGGAGGGACCCAGTGGGAGATAACTGAATCATGGGGGCAGATTCCCCCATACTTTTCTCGTGGTAGTGAAAAAGTCTCACAAAATCTGATGGTTTTATTAGGGGTTTCTGTTTTTGCATCTTCCTCCTTCTCTCTTTGCCTGCAGCCATTCATGTAAGACAGAACTTGCTCCTCCTTGCCTTCTGCCATCATTATGAGGCTTCCTCAGCCACATGGAATTGTAAGTTCAATTAAACCTCTTTTGTAAATTGCCCAGTCTCAGGTATGTCTTGACCAGCAGCATGATAGCAAATGGATACAGGTAACAGTAGAGGGGGGCGTTGCTGAAAAGATACCTGAAAATGTGGAAGTGACTTTGGAACTGAGTAGCAGGCAGAGGTTCGAACAGTTTGGAGGGCTCAGTAGAAGACAGAAAAAGGTGGAAAAGTTTTGAACTTCCTAGAGACTTGTTGAATGGCTTTGCCGAAAATGCTTATAGTGATATGGACAATAAGGTTCAGGATGAGATGGTCTCAGATGAAGATGAGGAACTTGTTGGGAAGTGGAGCAAAAGTGACTCTTGTTATGTCTTAGCAAAGAGACTGGCAATATTTTGCCCGTGTCCTAGAGATTTGTGAAACTTTGAACTTGAAAGAAATGATTCAAGGCATCAAGTGGGTGAAATTTATAAGCAACAAAGCATTCAAGTGGTGACTTGGGTGCTATTAAAAGCATTCAGTTTTAAAAGGGAAACAGAGCATAAAAGTATGAAAAATTTGCAGTCTGATAATGCAATGGAAAAGAAAATCCCATTTTCAAAGGAGAGTTTCAAGCTGGCTACAGAAATTTGCATAAGTAACGAGAAGGCAAATGTTAATCCCCAAGACAATGGAGATACATCAGAGGGATATGTCAGAGGTGTTCATGGCAGCCCTTTCCATCACAGGCCTGGAGGTCTAGGAGGAAAAGTGGTTTCATGGGCCAGGCCCAGGTTCCCCAAGCTGTGTGCAGCTTAGGGACTTGGTGCCCTGTGTCCTAGCTGCTCCAGCCATGGCTGAAAGGGGCCAACATAGAGTTTGGGCCATGGCTTCAGATGGTGCAAGCCCCAAGCTTGAGCCTGTGGGTGCACAGAAGTCAAGAATTGAGGTTTGGGAACCTCCACCTAGATTTCAGAAGATGTATGGAAATGCTTGGATGCCCAGACAGAAGTTTGCTGCAAGGGCGGACCTCTCCTGGAGAACCTCTGCTAGGGCAGTGCGGAAAAGAAATGTGTGGTTGGAGCCCCCACACAGAGTCCCCACGGGGCACCACCTAGTGGAGCTGTGAGAAGAGTGCCACCGTCCTCCAGACCCCAGAATATTAGATCCACTGACAGCCTGGAAAAGCTGCAGACACTCAATGCCAGCCCATGAAAGCAGCCAGGAAAGAAGTTGTGCCTTGCAAAGCCACAGGGGCCGAGCTGCCCAAGACCATGGGAACCCACTTCTTGCATTAGCATGACCTGGATGTGAGACATGGAGTCAAAGGAGATCATTTTAGAGCTTTAAGATTTGACTTCCCCACTACATTTAGGACTTGCATGGGCCCTTTAGCCCCTTATTTTGGCCAATTTCTCCCATTTGGAATAGCTGTATTTACCCAGTGTCTGCACCCCCATTGTATCTAGGAAGTAACTAACCTGCTTTTGGTTTTACAGGCTCATAGGTGGAAGAGACTTACTTTTTCTTAGATGAGACTTTGGACTGTGGACTTTTGAGTTAATGCTGAAATGAGTTAAGATTTGCGGGACTGTTGGGAAGGCACAGTTGGTTTTGAAATGTGAAGATGTGGGATTTGGGAGCAGGGAGGGGTGGAATGATATGGTTTGGTTGTGTCCCCATCCAAATCTCATCTTGAATTGTATTCCCATAATTACCACATGTTGTGGGAGGGACCCATTGAGAGAGAACTGAATCATGGGGGCAGTTTCCCCCATACTGTTCTCATGGTATGAGATCACAAGATCTGATGGCTTTACCAGGGATTTCCACTTTTGCATCTTCCTCCTCTCTTTGCCTGCTGCCATCCATGTAAGATAAGACTTGCTCCTCCTTGCCTTCTGCCATGATTGTGAGGCTTCCCCAGCCACATGGAACTGTGAGTCCAATTAAATCTCTTTCTTTTGTAAACTGCCTAGTCTCGGGTATGTCTTTATCAGCCATTTAAAAACAGACTAATGAAGTCAGTGTGTCTGTTTTTATGCCAGTACTATGCTCTTGTTGTTACTATAGCTCTGTATAACTACTTCTAACTATAACTACTATAGTTAGAAGTCAGGTAATGTGATTCCTCCAATTTTGGGGCTTTTATTTGTGCTCAGAATAGCTTTGACTATTCTGTGTCTTTTGGGGTTCCATATACATTTTAGGATAGTTGATTCTATCTCTGTGAAGAATGTCATAGGTATTTTGATTGGGATTGCATTAAATCTGCAGGTTGCTTAGGGTAGTATGGACATTTTAACATTATTGATTCTTCCAATCTATAAACATAAACTAACTTTACAGTTTTTTGCATCCTCTTGAATTTCTTCCATCAGTATTTTATAGTTTTCATTATAGAGATCTTTAACTTCTTTAAGTTAAATCCTAGATATTTAATTTGCTTTTTGGGTATTGTAATTGAAATTACATTTTAATTATTTTTCTTAATATTCACTGTTGACATATAGAAATGCTACTGATTTTCCTATGTTGATTTTATGTACAACTTTGCTGAATTCATTTATCAGTTCTAATAGTTTTCTGGCTGAATCTCTAGGTTTTACTGAATATAAGACCATATCATCTGCAAACAAGGATAATTTGACTTCTTTGTTAACAAGTTGGATGCGCTTTATATCTTTCTCTTGTCTAATTTATCTAGCTAGAATGTCCAGTATTATGTTGAATTACAGTGGTGACAGTGGGCATCCTTGTCCTGTTCCAATTCTTAGAGGAAAGGTTTTCCATTTTCCCCCATTTGCGATGATACTAGCTGTAGACCTGTCATGTGGCTTTTATTATGTTGATGTATGTTCCTTCTGTACCTAGTTTTTTTAGTGTTTTCATAATGAAGGGAGGTTCTCAACCTCCCAACCTCAAGTGATCTGCCCACCTCAGGCTCCTAAAGTGCTGGGATTACAGGCAAGAGCCACCGCGCCCGGCCCAGTGAAGGGATGTTGAATATTATTAAATGCTTTTCCAGCATCAATTGAAATAATCACATGGATTTTGTTCTTCATTCTGTGAATATGATGTATAACTTGATTATTTTGTGTATGTCAATCTCACCTTGCATTCCTGGGATAAATCCCACTTGATGGATGATCTTTGTAATGTCTCATAGAATTTGGTTTACTAGTATTTTGTTATTATTTTTTCATCAATATTCATCAGAGATATTGTACTGTACTTTTATTTTTTCATGTGTCTTTGTCTGGTTTTGATACTGAGGTAATACTGGCTTTATAGAATGAGTTTGGAAGTATACTTTTCTCCTCTATTTTTGAAATAGTTTGAGTAAGATTGGTATTAGTTTTACTTTAAATGTTTGGTAGAATTCAGCAGTGAAACCACTGAATCTTGGGCTTTTCTTTACTGGGTGACTTTTAACACAATTTTGTTGTTGTCACTTGTTATTGGTCTCTTCAAGTTTAAATTTCTCTGTGGTCCAAACTTGGTAGGTTGTATATGTCTAGAAATTTGTCCATTTCCTCTAGATCATCCAACTTATTGGTATATAGTTGCTCATAGTAACCACTAATTATACTTTTAATTTCTGTGGTATTGGCTGTAATCTCTCCTTTTTTACTGTTGATCTTATTTGGATTTTCTCTCATTTTCTCTTAGTTATTGTGGCTAAAGTTTTGTCAATTTCATTTATCTTTTAGGAAAACTTTTTCTTTCTTTGATTTTTTGTATTGCTTTCTAGTTTTAATTTCATCTATTTTTGCTCTGATCTTTATTTTTTCTACTACTAACCATGAATTTAGTTTGCTCTTGCTCTTCTAGTTCTTTAAGATGCATCATTAGGTTATTTATTTGCAGTTTTACTTCTTTTTTTAATGTGGGCACTTAAAATCATAAATTTATCTTGTAGTTCTGCTTTTGCTGTATTACATAAGTATTGGTATGCTGTGTTTCCACTAGCATTTGTTTCAATAAATTTTTCTGTTTTCTTCTTAATTTCTTCTTTGAGTCACTTGCCATTCAGGAGCATATTGTTTAATTATCATGTGTTTGCATAGTTTCCAAAATTACTCTTGTTATTGATTTCTAGTTTTATTCCATTGTTATCAGAAAAGATGTTTGCTTTTGTTTCAATTTTTTGAATGTTTTAAGACTTGTTTTGTGACATAACATATGGGCTATCTTTGAGAATAGTCCATATGCTGAAGAAAAAAATGAGTATTCCGTAGCTCTTCAATGACATGTTCTGTAATCATCTATTCAATCCATTTGGGCTATAGAGGACATTCAGTCTAATGTTTCTTTATTGATTTTCTGTCTGGAAGATCTGTCAAATGCTAAAAGTTGGGTGTTGAATTTTCTAGATATTATTTTATTTCGGTCTCTGTCTTTACTTCTAACAATATTTGCTTTATATATCTGGGTGCCCCAGTGTTTGGTGCATATACTTTTACAATTTTGATGTCCTCTTGCTATGTTGACACCTTCATTACATAATGACCTTCTTTGTCTCTTTATACATTTTTGTCTTAAAGTTTATTTTTTTGTTTGTGTTATGAGTATAACTACACATGCTCTTTTATGATTTCCATTGCCATTGAATATCTTTTTCATCTCTTTATTTTCAGTTTATATGTGTCTTTATTGGAGAAGTGTGTTTCCAGTAGGCAACAAATCACTGGATCTTGTATTTTTATCCATTTTATGTCTTTTTATTGGAGGGTTCAGTTAATTTACATTAAATATTATTGAGAAGTAAGAACTTCCTCCTGCCATTTAGTTATTTGTTTTCTGATGATTTTGTCACCTTCTCTTCCTTTTTCTCTTCCTCTCTGTCTTCCTGTTAGTGAAGGTAATTTTCTTTTGTGGTATGACAAATTAATTTCTTGCTTTTCATTTTTTTGAGTATTCTTTTTTTTTATTTGTGGTTATCATGAGTCTTGCAAATAATGTCTTATAACCTATTATTTTAAAGTGATGGCAACTCAACACTGATTGCATAAACATCCTAACAAACAAGAAAAATAAAAAACTTACAAAAACCTTACTCTTTAACTTCACCTACCCCCCATTTATAAGTTTTTGGTTTTTTCCATTTGTATCTTATTGTACTGTCTATGTCTTGAAAAGTTGTAGTATTATTTTTGACTGGTTATTCTGTTAGTCTTTCTACTTGAGATATGAATAGATTACACATCACAATTACAGTGTTATTATATTTGGTGATTTTCTATGTACTTACTATTTCCAATGAGTTTTATACCTTCAGATGATTTATTATTTCTGATTAATGTAATTCTATTTCAGACTGAAAAACTCTCTTTAGCATTTCCTGTAAGTCATATCTGGTGTTTATGAAATCCCTCAAAGTTTCTTTGTCTGGAAAGCCTTTTTTTCTCTTTCATGTTTGAAGAATATTTTTACCAGATATACTATTCCAGGGTAAAAGTTTGTTGTTTGTTTGTTTGTTTTTTCTTGCTTCAGCACTTTAAATATGTCATGCCAATCTCTCCTGGCCTATAGGGTGTCCACTGGAATGTCTGCTTGCAGACATAATGGAGCTCCATTGTATGTAATTTTTTTCTTTTCTCTTGCTGCTTTTAGAAACCTTTCTTCATCTTTGACTTTTGGGAGTTTGATTATTAAATCCCTTGAGGTAGTGTTTTTGTGTTAAATCTGCTTGGCATTCTGTAACCTTTTTGTATTTGGATACCAATATCTTTATCTAGATTTCGGAAGATATCTGTTACCATCACTTTGAGTAAACTTTCAACCCCTATCTCTTTCTCTACCTCCTTTTTAAGGCCAGTAACTCCTAGATTTGCCGTTTTGAGGCTATTTTCTAGATATTGTAGACATGCTTTATTGTTTTTTATTTTTGTTTTACCTCCTCTGACTTTATTTTCAAATAGCCTGTTTTCAATTTCACTAATTCTTCTTCTGCTTGATCAATTTTGCTATTAAGAGCCTCTGACACATTAGTCAGTATGTCAATTGCATTTTTCAACCTTAGAATTTCTGCTTGATGCTTTTTAATTATTTCAATTTCTTTGTTACATTTATCTGATATAACTAAATTTCTTCTTGGTATTATATTGGGTTTCCTTGAGTTTCCTCAAAACAGCTATTTTGAACTATCTGTTTGAAATGTCACATATCTCTGTTCATCCAGGGTTGGTCTCTGATGCCTTGTTTAGTTCCTTTGTTGAGGTCATGATGACTGTCTTGATGCTTGTGAATGTTCACCAGTGTCTGAGCATTGAAGAGTTTGGTATTTATCATAGGCTTCACATAGGTTTTTGTTTATCTCTTCTGAGAAGGCTTTCCAGATATTCAAAGGGACTTGGGCCTCAAGCTCAATAATTCAGTGGTTCTTGTAGACTCATAGAGGTACCACCTTGATGTTCTTGGATAAGATGCAGAAGAATTATCTGGATTATAGGGAGATACTCTTGTCCTCTTTCCTTACTTTCTCCCAAACAATCTCTTTGTGTGCTATGCTGCTTGGAGCTGGGTGTGGGTTACCATACACACCACTGCCACCACCATGACTGGGATTGTGCTGCGTCAAACCTGAAGACAGCACAGCACTGGGTCTCACCCGAGGCCCACTGTTAGCACTACCTGGCTACTGACTATGTTCACTCAAGACCCTAAGTCTCTACAATCAGCAAATGGGGAAGCCAGCCAAATTTCTGTCCTTCCTTTCAGAATGGCAAGTCCCCCCAGGCCCCATGCAGGTCTAGAAATTTTGTCTGGGAGCCAGGGATTGGATTCAAAAACCTTAGAAATCTCCCTGGTGTTCTATTCCTTTGCAGTTATGCTGGCTCTCAAACCACAAGACAAAATCCTTCCTGCTCTTTTCTCCCCTTTTTCCAGGCACAGGAGCCTCTCCCAGTGGCCATCACCACCACCAGCACACGGGGAATTTGCCAGGCAACCACTACTGCTCACTTAACATTCCAAGGGCTCTTCAGTCAGCTTGTGGTGAATGCCGCCAGGCCTGGGATTCACTCTACAGTGAAATAATCACCCCTGAGTCCCAGGGAATGTCCAGAAATACTGCTCAGGAGCCTAGGCCTGGACTTGGAGACTGCAAAAGCCCACTTAGCATTCTACCCCACTGGGGCTGAGCTGGTAGGTACCTAAGGTGCAAGACAAAGTTCCCTTCACTTTTCTCTCTGATTTTCTCATGCAGAAGAAGTCTTTCACTATAACCAACACAGCCTGAAATGTGCTGGGTTTTACCTGAATCCAGCACATCTCGGCCTCACTAAAGACCCATGGCATACTACCTGGGTATCACTCTTGGTTATTCAGGCCCCAAGGGCTCTTAAATCAGCAGATGGTGAATTCTGCAAGGACCAGGTAATTTTCTTCAAGTCAGTAGGTTACCTTCTGGTCCCAGGTGTGTCTAGAAATGTCTTCTTGGAGGTAGGGCCTAGAATGGGGACCTCATGAATCTGCCCAGTACCAGTACCCTATCCTATTGTGTCTGTGATCCAAGATGCAAGACAAAGTCCTCTTTACCCTTTCCTCTCCTTTCCTCAAGCAGAAGGAAGAAGTCACTTTTGTTGGTGTAAGCTGTGCTGCCTGGGGTTGGGAAAGAGGTGTCACAAGCATTTCTTTAGCCTCTCTATACCTAGGTCATGTCCCATCATAGTCTGCTGACTCTAAATCCAGACCAGCACTAGGACATGCCTAGTAAATGCAGTCCTTGTGTCTTTGACTGCCTTTCAAGTTTACCTTGGACCCCAGAGCCCTTTATCCCACAGTGGCAAGGCTTGCTGAGAAATTCAAGTTTCTGTCTCTGAGATAGATAATTCCCCTCTGGCAGGACTGATCCAAATGCTCCCTCCATGAGTGAGTGCTGGCTGAATCCAGCATGGCTTTGCTCTCTGCTGTGACAAGGCAGCACTGAGTTCAATGCCAATTCCTCCGGCCATTGTGTTCTCTCTCCCACAAGTGCACAGATTCTCTCTGCGTTCCATGTGGTCCTTGCTAAAGGATGGGGGAGGTGTAGCATCAGTGACCCAAGACTGTCTTTCCTACCCTCTTCAGAGTCTCTTTCAGCAATAGAAAGTTAAAACTGGGTACTCTGATTGCTCGCTTGATTTTTGCTTCTTACGATGATGCATTTCTGTGTAGTTGTTAAAATTTGGTGTTCACGAAAGAGTGGATGATAAGTGGAGGCTTCTATTCAGCCATCTTGCTCTTCCCCATGCTTCTTACTTTGACATTGTATTCTTCAGTTCTCACATTGCTATAAAGGAATGACCGAGACTGGGTAATTTATAAAGAAAAGAGGTTTAATTGGCTCATGATTCCACAGTCTGTACAGGAAGTGTCACAGCATCTGCTCAGCTTCTGGGGAGGCCTCAGGAAACTTACAATCATCACAGAAGGCACATGGGGAGCCAGCACTTGACATGGCTAGAGTAGGAGGACGGCTGGGGAAAGTGCCACACACTTTTAAATAACCAGATCTCATGAGAACTTATTCACTATCACAAGAACAGCACCAAGGGAGAAATCTGTCCCCATAATTCAACACCTCCCACCAGCTTCAAACTCCTACATTGGGGATTACAATTTGACATGAGATTTAGGTGGCAACATAGATCCAAACCATATCAGACACAAAAGATCAACAGAAGTCAAGCTAACTCTTATTTTCTTCTTACTTATTATCTCTGAATTATAACTTCTCAAGAATAGAGAAAGGGCAAGGATTAATTACAAATTTTGGCTCAAACATCACATTACGATAGCTGAGCTGAGCATAAAGAAAGTAACTTAAAATATTTTTCAACTCCAGCTGGGAAGCAGTCTCATACAGAATAAGATTTTTCTATGATATCTGATATAATTTACCACTCTATTTTGTCTGAAAATGGTCTCTTGTTTTAGGCTTCCTTGATAACACACTGTTCTGGTTCTTTTCCTACATTTGACCATTTGTGGAAGGTTTCTTTCTTGACTGTTTGCCATATTTTTTTTCCATTCAACACAAGTGTTCTTTAGGGTTTTATCTTCAATTCCCGTCTCACTCAATATAATGTCCCCTGATAAATTCATTTACTATTAATGTTTCAACCACCAATATGCTGACATTCAGAAATCCTTAACCCTTTCTACCCCCAGATCTGTTTCCTAATATTCAGACAAAAAAGAAAAACCTGCAATTTGACATTTCATACATGAATATACCACAGGCTTTTCAAGGTTAGTATGTCAAAAAGTAATCTCATCATCACAACATCCTCCCTAATAGGTCTTATGTTTTCCTGTCTCTCACATCCTCATTCATGTTTCTACTATCTTAGGTCAGAAACTTCAGAGTCATTCCAATTTTTTTTTACCTCAACCCCTGCTCAGACACCTGAGTCAACATCCTTCCCCTTGCTTATACCTTCTCTTTTTCACTCCCAATGCCTTAGGCCAGGCCTATATATTATTTTGCAGAGATGATTGCAATAATTTCCTAACTTGTCTTTTAGATTCAATTTTACACCTATCCAATCCAATCTTTATATCTTCTTAGAAGTAATCTATCTACAATGTACATCTGACAATGTCATTTTCCACTTAAACCCTTTAATGACACCATTCATAAAGCTTCTTCTAATCTAACTCTAAGGTAAAAATAACCATCCTCTTCATTAAAATCTCTACTATATTTGTGCTCTTCTGCTGTTTTTATTGTAAGCCTGTAATTATTTTTTGTTTCCACTTGTTTACATGAGTTGGGAACTTTTAACTCAGAGAGTGATTTTATGTTTTTGTGATTCCTCTGCATTGGAAATTGAAGTAATTAGATAATTCAAAGATTTTAGTAAGAAAATAAATTAATTCAATGAAAATAAACTAACATAAAACCCACAAGCAAGCCAGTTATTTTACACTAAATCAAGCATATTAAAATGACTAGTTTTTCTGTTTTTATACCCTTCCAAACATGATGCTGGTTACAGAGAACCTGAGAAAACATATTAGTAGAAAGTGAGGACAAAGAAGTTGAAGATAGTTTTAGAAAATGAGATATAAATAAATAAATAAGAATAAAATGAAATCAGAACATACTTAAGCCAGGCTCCCTTTACCAGCTTGATCAGATCCTCACAATCAAACAAATTGAGAGGATAACACTCATCTTTCGGGCATAAATTCCACTTTTATTTGAGTTATTCAAATGATCCAAGCTGAAACCTGTGTTTGGCTTAAACTGGTAATACAGTCAACCACTCCCCTTGATTTGAGAAAACACTAGGGAAGAGGGCTTAGCGAATTATAATCAATCATTCTTCTTTATTCGCTTATGATAATTAGTGATTTTCTTAGAAATGTATTTAAATGTATTTTAAATGTAAACAATAACATGCTCTCAGATTAACTCAAATGAAATATTAGATTCCCACTGTAATGCCAAACTGTTTCCTTCTAGCTTTCTAAGGCAAACATGAGCTTAGCCAATATGTTGTCACTTAAAATAATTTATTAAACTAGGCCAGGCGCGGTATGGCTCACACCTGTAATCCCAGCACTTTAGGAGGCCAAGGCAAGTGGATCACAAGGTCAGGAGATCGAGACCATCCTGGCTAACACGGTGAAACCCCGTCTCTATTAAAAATACAAAAAATTGGCCGGGCGCGGTGGCTCACGCCTGTAATCCCAGCACTTTGGGAGGCCGAGGCGGGCGGATCACGAGGTCAGGAGATCGAGACCATCCCGGCTAAAAAAACGGTGAAACCCCGTCTCTACTAAAAATACAAAAATTAGCCGGGCGTAGTGGCGGGCGCCTGTAGTCCCAGCTACTTGGGAGGCTGAGGCAGGAGAATGGCGTGAACCCGGGAGGCGGAGCTTGCAATGAGCCGAGATCGCGCCACTGCACTCCAGCCTGGGCGACAGAGCGAGACTCCGTCTCAAAAAAAAAAAAAAAAAAAAAAAAATACAAAAAATTAGCAGGGCATGGTGGCACATACCTGTAGTCCCAGCTACTTGGGAGGCTGAGGCAGGAGAATCTCTTGAACCCAGAAGGCGGAGGTTGCAGTGAGCTGAGATCGCACCATTGCACTCTAGCCTGGGCGACAGAGTGAGACTCTGTCTCAAAAAATAATAATAATAATAATTTATTAAACTAAGATTTTTTTTTTTTTTTTTTTTTTTTCTGAGGCGGAGTCTCGCTCTGTCGCCCAGGATGGAGTGCAGTGGCGGGATCTCGGCTCACTGCAAGCTCCGCCTCCCGGGTTCATGCCATTCTCCTGCCTCAGCCTCCCAAGTAGCTGGGACTACAGGCGCCCGCCACTACGCCCGGCTAATTTTTTGTATTTTTTAGTAGAGACGGGGTTTCACCGTTTTAGCCGGGATGGTCTCGATCTCCTGACCTCGTGATCCGCCCGCCTCGGCCTCCCAAAGTGCTGGGATTACAGGCGTGAGCCACCGCGCCCGGCCTAAACTAAGATATTTTGAAGGCTCTAAGATGTTCGATTAATTCTAATTATATTAGTGTGTTATGTCCAAATTATAACTTTTTTAAGAGACATGTTCTTTCTCATTCAGGCTGGAGTGCAGTGGTACAAACATAGTTCACTGTAATCCCAAACTTCTGGGCTCAAGCCACCATGCCTGGCTAATTTTTTAAAGACAGGGTCTCACTATGTTGCTCAAGTTGGTCTTGAACTCCTAACCTCAAGTGATCTTTCCACCTCCAGCTCCCAAAACCTGGGATTACAGGTGTGGGCTGCTGCACCCAGTCCCCAAATTATAATTATTAGAACAGTGTCAATACCCCGGAATGTTTTCTTTTTTAACTTTTATTTTAGGTTCAGTGGTGCATGTGCAGGTTTGTTACATAGGTAAACTGCATGTCATGAGGGTTTGTTGCACAAATTATTTTGTCACGCAGGTAACGAGCATAGGACCACATGGGTGTTTTTTCTGATCCCCTCCTTCTTCTCACTCTACACCCTCAAGTAGGCCCCAGTTTCTGTTGTTCCCCTCTTCGTGTCTGTATGTTCTCATTGTTTACCCCCTAGTTATAAGTGAGAACATGTGGTATTTGGTTTTCTGTAGCTGCATTAAAATAATAGTTTGCTTAAAATAATGGCCACCAGCTCTATCCATGTTGCTGCAAAGGACATGATCTCATTCCTTTCAACGTCTGCATAATATTTCATTTATATATATATATATATATGCATGTATATATATACGTGTATATATATATACACGTATATATATGTGTATATATATACGTGTATATATACATGTATATATATGTGTATATATATACGTGTATATATATATATACATTTTCTTTAGTCTTCCATTGATAGGCATTAAGTCAATTCCATGTCTTTGCTATTATAAACAGGGCTGCAATGAACATATGCGTGCATGTGTCATTAAGGTAGGATGATTTATATTCCTTTGGGTATATAGCCAATAATGGGATTGCCAGGTCAAGTGGTAATTCTGTTTTAAGTTCTTTGAAAAATCGCCACTTTGCTTTCCACAGTGGCTGAAGTAGTTTACACTCCCAGCAGCAGTGTATAAGCGTTCGCTTTTCAGTGCAACCTCGGCAGCATCTTGCTTGCACCTTGCCTGGGGCCTACTTGAGGATGGAGTATGGGAGGAGAGAGAGAATCAGAAAAAATACTTATCTGGTCCTATGCTTATTACCTGGGGGACAAAATGGTCTGTCCACCGCACCCCAGTGGCGCATAGTTTACGTATGTAACAAACCCCCACACACACCCCTGAACCTAAAATAAACGTTAAAAAATAAAACTTTCTGGACATATTGACATCTTTCTAGTAATTATAATTTGGGGCCTAGGTGTGGTAGCCCACACCTGTAGTCCCAGAACATTCACTGGCCAAGGTGGGAGGTTCACTTGAGGTCAGTTCTCTTTGACCTCCTAGTAATAGCCATTCTGCCTGGTGTGAGATGGTATCTCATTGTGGTTTTGATTTGCATTTCTCTAATCATTAGTGATGTTAAGCATTTTTTTTTTCATATGCTTTTTGGCCAGTATGTCATCTTTTGAAAACTGTCTGTTCTTGTCCTTTGCCCAGTTTTTAATGGGGCTGTTTGTTTTTTGCTTGTACATTTGTTTATAGAATGTTTTATTAAAAGGTCACTTTTATTTCTTGTATTTTATATTCTAGCTTGCTATTTTTTTTTTGTCTTTTGGGGACTTGTATGCATACAGTAGTAACTCCATGGCATTCTTTTTTAAGCCTAAGCTTTAGTGGATACTGAATAATGCTTAGGAAGGAATGAAAACTAGGATAAAGAAAGAAAAGACTGAAGAAAGACTTTTTTTAAAGTTTCCAATGGAATATGGCAATGGAGATGTCCAGTTGCAAGCTGAACATGCTTGGTTTGGAATTCTGTAGTGAGGTTATGACTATAGATAGAAACTTTGGAGTTACAGGCATAAAACTACAGATATGAACATGCCTGATATTATCCAGAAAGAGCCTATGGAGTCTAAAAAGCAGGTGGTGAGGATAGCTTCCTGAATATCATGAACATTTTAGGATTATTCACACTGAAGAACCTGTAAAGGGAGTAAGAGGAAATAGCCATAATGATAGAGGAAAACAAGGAGAAAGGAGTATCATAGAAATTGAGAAAGGACAATCTCATGAAGACAGTGGGCCACAGTGCAAAATATCAAAGAGAGATGAAGTAAGATAGGGAAAGCAAAGTGACTGGAGCCTTTGGAAATACTGATCGCATTGATAAATTGGGAAGACAGGGTCTTCTATTTCAAGGGAATGGAAGGGGTTGTTGAGAAGCCAGATGATTGTAATTTGGGGACAATGGGCAGTAAATAAGCAGAGGCAGTAAATAACTACAGACTACTATTATGATGACTCTTAGCTATAAAGAAAATGGCATGATGACTAGAGAGACTTATGTTATTGACAAAGAATATAGAGATGATATCGGATGGAACAAGTTTCTTAGGAGACAGAAGAAACAGAAGGGGAGAAATTTGTCATGTGGAGAAGAAGGGAGCCCTCTTCCATTGAGTTATGAGTGAGGAAGTAAAAGATATGTGGACATGAAGATACACAGTACGGGAAAAGTAAGGAAGTTGTACTAATTTCTCGACTTACGGCTTCCATTTTCTCAGTGAAGTGAGAGGCTAAGTCTGCTAACACCAAAAGAGAAAGTGGAATGTTAGGAGATTTGAGGTTAAAAAAAATATAAGTCTGGAGTGGACATTGAAGAGCAACGTAAAGGAATCTGAGATCTTCTCTGTCTTCATGGTGACTAAAAATTATTGGACAATAATTAACACCCTACCACAATGTGGAAACTATAAATTTATTGTAATTTCATATAATGATTGTGCAACACTCTTTCAATATCCAGATCAAATGGTTCTTCCACAGTGAAAATTCCTGTGATCCAAAAAAGCACTGTTTAGCCGTCCTTATTTATGGCACCACTATACCTATGATATATCTCTATAATTGCACTTAGAATAATATATAATGAATATAAATTATTTGTGCTACATGCTGCCATCCATCCATATACTGAGCTTCTTAAAGGCATGTCTGTATTTTGGGATATCTCAACAAATGTTTGTTGAATGAATAAATAAGTAACCAATAATCCTCTTGAGATAGTGCATGTCCAAATGTGTATCTACAATGTTATTACTAATATATCTTTCTCAAAATACCTTCCCAGAAACTGCTCCAACCCAGGTATCCTGACTATATAGCTTAGCTTTGTCAGAATGTGCTCAGTGCAATCAGAAGGAGAGTGAAATTTTGGTAGACAGCAAAGTAGATTAGTCTCAGATGTTCAAATTTCTGGTTTGGAAACTCAGAAAAGAACCATGTATTATAAACATGAGATTGTACTACAAAGATAATTCTCTACATTATTTTTAAATGAAAACCTCTTTTTTCACATTTTATTTTAAGAAAATTAATTTTCTATTATACATCTTACTGGTCAATCTATTAAAACCCATAACCAAAAACAATAAACGATTACTTTTAAAAGAGACTTATCCTTGAATTTTTTTTTTTTAGAAAACATCACATTGTGATAGTTTCTCAAACAATCAATGAGCAAAGATAGTTCTTTCAGCCTCAAGGAAATGGACAGCAGCTCAATCTGTGTGATCTCACTCATTAGGCTGAATGTTAGCTGCCTTTGGAAAAAATATGCCAGGTTTGAATGATGTGGGGTATAATAAAGTTTTATCATGAAAATAATTTTAACCCAAATTAGGTCATTTATATATTTTAATAGCAGTTTAAATTTACTCATTCACATTGTGCAGATTATGGTCGCTCTTCTCTCACAATTATTTTGCAACCTTGTTTAGCATATGTGACTGATAGTGGGTAAATTGATTTTTCAAGGATAAGTTAGTAGGATCTTTCCGTAAAAATCCAGGTGATGATGGAAAAATTATTTTTAAAAAAGCACACAGATATTGTCCATGTTGACAGTTACATCTATTATTTTATGCTAACAGATTCTTTAGCAGCCTAGTGATTAAAAAACTTGGTTTTTGTTAAAAGTAGTTTCAAATTAATTATTTACTGTACTTACCAGTCCCTTTCAGCTGATGATATACTTCTAAATTAATATTTCACATAAATTCTGCACTGAAATTTATAAGAATAAGTCATTCATCCTGTATCAGATCTCATGGGTGTCTATTATTTTTAGGACACCTCTTACCTTATTATCTACCCACCTTTCATTATATGCATACTTTCTGGAAGTTCCACTTAGAATATGAATAATCTTCCATTTTCAAACATATAACAGAGAATATTGTTAGGGCTGTCTTATATGACAGGAAAGGAAAAACTTACATACTTTGACATTTAGCTTCCTGTAATATTGTACCCTATTAAAGAGCATTGAAATGCTATTTATGTTCTGAGTTTCAGCTATACTTTTGCTTATGAAGTTATCTTTCCCCAAACATTCCAGTTTGTTCTTCAATGGAAAAATGCAAAAAATGTGTTTGAAGATATGCATCATGTTACCTATTGGGAGGGTAAAAGAAAGCTTCAGTCAGAAACAAAAGAGGGTGGCTTACGGAAAGGTTTTTTCCCTAAAATTATTGCATGTAATTAACTGTGAGCAAGCTTGAAGATTCATACATTACTAGTAGAACAAACAGGTTTTCCTTATTTTACCATCCATCATTCATTCATTCATGTAACAGGTATTTGTGAGCACCTACTGTGTGTCTGGCAATGTTACTGGCACTGCAGAAATATCAGTAAACAAATAGGCAAAAACCTTTGCCCTCATGGATCTTACATACTTGGGGAAGATGGAATGTAAACAAAATAAATAAGTAAATTATGAAGCATATTAGAAGGTAATAAGCATTAAGAAACAAAAATAAGCAGACAAGAGGAGGTGAGGAAACATAATTTTATATAGTATCATCAGGGAAAAATTCACTGAGATGGTGCCATTTGAACAAAGATCAGGAAACAATGAAGTGAAAAATATGGTTATCTTGGGGAAGATAATTTCAAACAGAAGGAAAGGAGATGCAACAGCTCTAAGCTTGCCTCTTTCCAACAGCAAAGAGGACTATATTGATGAAGTGGAGTGAGCAAAAATGTTGGAGAAGCTGCAGTCAAAGGAGTAAGGGGTTCAGTTGTATAGAAGCTTGATTTGGCCCTTACCTTTACTGAGATGGAAGTCATTGGAGAATTCTTAGCAGAAGAACAACATGATCTGACATAGCACAAAGGATAAAAGTAAGATTTAGCAAATCTTACTAGCTAAGGAAGATTTCTCTTTGTTTGCCAGCTTCAGTGGGATCTCTACTTCTTTTCAGTAAAATTGGAATCTCTGTTAACACCTCTGTTGGGATTACCACTATTTTTTTCTCCCACTGCTTCTTTGTGATTATATATTATACTGTAGATTAGCAGGGTAGACAAATTAACTACAAATGCCTAAGAACACACTGCTAAAATCATTAATTCACACTTTGAAATGATAAGCAAAATGAACATTATAATGTTCATTACTGTGTGGTCACATGCTTTTACAGAATGCAGCTATGTATAGAATAGAATTCAGTTTTTCTTCAAACTTTTGACTCTCCAGAAATGGAACATAAACAGTCAATTAACACAGTCAAAAAAGAGTAGATTTTATATATTAATTACATGCATTATACACTGTATTCTTACAATAAAGTAAGCTGGAGAAAAAAGGTTAGTAAGGGAATCATAAGGAAGAGAAAATGTATTTACTATTCATTAAGCAGAAGTGGATCATCATAAAGGTCTGCAACATAAATGTCTGCATACTCACCTTGAGTAGGCTGACGAGGAGGAAGAACAAGAAGGGCTGGTCCTGCTGTCTCAGGAGGGGCAGAGGCGGAAAGGTGGAAGAGGCAGAAGGGGAGGCAGGCACACTCTGTGTACATTTACAGAAATATGTCATAATTTCTTTCTGAATTTTTCACTTTTTCATTTATCTAGGAGTTTTTCTATACAGTACCGATTCTTCTTCCATTATTTGCTTTAGTTTCACTGGCCATATCATAGAAAGGGCAATGTCATAAAAGAAGTCAAATGCAATCTTGAATCATTGGAACCTTTCTGCCAGATTGCCTTATGTCAATTTCTTTTCTGGCCCTGTTTCTATGTCTTCTTCTTCATTGTCTGGCACTGGTTTGGAAGCACTAATCTCCATCAAGTCATTTTCTTTTAATTTGTCTGGTGTGGGGTCTATGAGCTCTAGAGTTTCTCCAAGCCCCATATCTTCGAAGCCTAAACCCCCCTAAACACATTTTTTTAACATATTCACAATATCTTTCATGATTTCCTTGGTTAGCTCTGTTGTAAGTCCTGTAAAGTAATGCACAACATCTGAAAACAGTTTTCTCCAGCAGAAATTTATTGTTTTGGGCTTGATGGCTTTCATGTTTCTTTCTATAACAATAATGGCATCTTCAATGGTGTAATTCTTCCAGGCTCGCATGATGTTCTCTGTATCCAGGTTCTCTTTCATAGTGTTCACAATCCTTTCCATAGAGAATCACGTGTAATTAGCCTTAAAGGTCCCTATGAGCCCTGATCTAGAGGCTGAGCTTGACATATTGCATCTGGGGGAAGGAGACCACTTCAACACCTTTGGTGTTGAATTCACGGGTTTCAAGTATTCTGGGACATTGTCCAATATCAAAAGAACTTTAAAAAGCCGTGTCTTACTGTAGAATACTTCCTGAGTTCAGAGACAAAGCATGGAAGGAATCAATTCAAAAACAGGGTTCTCATTGTCCAGGCCTTCCTACTGTACAACCCAAAAGACTGGCAGCTGGTGCTTATATTTTCTCTTTAAGGCTTAGAGGTTAGCAGCTTTATAGATAAAGGCAGTCCTGATCATAAACCCGACTGCATTTGCACAAAACAGTAGAGTTAGTCTATCCATTCCTGCCTTACATCCTGGTGCTTGATTCTCCTCTTTAGTAATAAATATCTTTGGTGGCATTTTTTTCAAGAACAGGGCACTTTTCTGCATTATAAATCTGTTCAGTTAGTTATCTCTTCTCCTCACTGTTTTTTTTAATGGCATCTAGGAATCTGTCTGTTGCTTCTTGATTGGCAGAAGCTGCGTCTTCTGTTATTGTTACATATTTTCATCCATACTTCTTTCTAAATTTATCAAACCTTCCTTCGCTGGCATTAAATACTTCAGCTTCCGATTCTTCATCTTCCTTTTGCTTTAAATTGTCATATAATGACTTTGCTTTTTCTCAATTTATATTAAATTGTGTAGGTCTGCCTTTTTTAGTAACAATTCTGCACCCACATAAAAGCTGCAGTTTCAGTGCAAGAGAAAAAGATATTTCACAAAATGTGAAAGGTTTTCACATATGCTGGGATACCAGTAACAATGGCTTCATGTGTTTCTTTTTCTTTTTTTACAGTGCTTCTTATGCTGGATCCATTTACCTTTAAATGGCAGGCAACCGCAGCTGCAGACCTCAATCTACGGTACATATCAAGCAAATCAACTTTTTCTTGTAATGTAATAACTTTTCTCTGCTTCTTGGTAGCACTTCCAGCATCATCAGTGGCACATCATATGAATCCCATGTTGTTACTAAAACACGGTGTTACACTAAACATGATGAAAATATGCAAGAACCATGAGAAATCCCTTTTTACTGTGACGCACAATTTACTAAGGAGACAAGCTGCTCATGTGGAGATGATCAACAGCACAGGGCATTTTAAGTGAATGCTGACAACACGAGCTCACTGCGACAGCAACAGAAGGTGGCTATGAAATTGTAGTAGTGCACTACATACTACAGTTAATTTTATGGAGTTGTGATTTAATAACATATCTTTGTGTTTGTCTACTTTCAACTGCAAATGACACTATGTAAGGTCTGTAAGTGGTTGTATGAATAAGTTTTGATGTATTTTAACTTTTTATAACAGATTTGTGTGTATTTTATGGTGATAAATAATAAAATAGTCAAGTATCTAGGTATTTTATGCATTTACAACATACATAACTTTTTGTTATTTTTTTTCTATATGTCTAAGATATGTGGCTTGTCTGTGAGTTTTTTCAAATTGTTGCAAATCTCCAAAATATATTCCAACATATTTATTGAAAAAATCTGTATGTAAGTGGATCCGCACAGGTCAAAACCATATTGTTCAAAGGTCAACTGTATATCAGGGTTGATTTTACAAAAGTTAAGAAAGAAGAGAAAGATCTAGTAAAATAATTAAAAGAAGAAAAAGGAAGAGATCTGTGTTACAGACCAACGAAGTCCTAAATAGAAACATTTTAAGGGTTATTTTCCTGAGACATCACTTTTGCTATTCTAGCCTCTGGTGAACAAAATCCAGTGTGCCAAAACACTCGTGTTAAAGTAGATTACTCTATCATACATTTATTAGTTACTTTAATTTAAATCTTAAATAAAAGAGATATACATGCCGCTAATTAATTGATGGTGCAGATATCTCAAGACTCAATATAGAAGTCTGAACAATTATATTTGGCAATTAGTGCCAGGTAGACAGACATGGATAGGTAAACAGTTAAGTCTACCAAGTTAGCAGCTCCTTTCAACTTCCTTGCTCTTTCTAATGAAGTCACTTTCTTTAGCAATTTTGCTCACTACTCTTCTCAGGTTTCAATATGCATGGCTAAAAATTTACTATCAAAACTTCTTCATTGTACTACTAGGTTTCTGGTTTTTTTGAATTTTTAAGAGTAATTTTAAGAGTGTTCCCTTAAAATGAATCAATAATCATATAACACCAGAAAATCTGACAAGCTATGAGGAAGATTCTGTAGAAGATCCTTAACTATGCATCCAAATTCACATACAACCCAGTACATTGTGGTGGTGATGGGTATGATCTTAAGCTTTGAAGTCAGACAGATGTGGATTTGAATCCAGGCTCCAACAGTTACTTTGTGACCCTGGACATTTAACCTCTATTTTACACAACCATAAAACAGGGATGGCAATATATAGGGCCTATATATATTTTTGCAATTCGTATTAAGGGAAATGTATATAAAGTCTCAGGCAGGAAGAGTTAGTAATTATTATTAATGTTACGATTATTTCACCAGAAGATTAAATTCCACCAGCTTGTAATAGCATATATTGTCTTCTATTCAGGGCCCACTTAAAGTGCTTTGCGATCTTGAAGAGTTTCAAATAGTACCTGGAACATTATATGTGCCTAAGTGCTAGTTAAGTGTCTGTTAAATAAATTAATTAAATAAGCTTCTTTTTAAAGAAAGGGTTTGGAGATTAAGGAGAATACCTAAACCAGTCTTTCTCTTCTATTATCACTGTAAAATACTTACCTAGTATTGTCAATGGGCTATGAAAAGGGGTCTGGCTCTTATCGCCTATTTTTTCTTTTTTCTTTTTTTTTTTTTTTTTTTTTTTTTGAGACAGAGTTTGCTCTTGTTGCCCAGCCTGGAGTGCAATGGCACGATCTCGGCTTGCCACAACCTCTGCCTCCTGAGTTCAAGTGATTCTTCTGCCTCAGCCTCCTGAGTAGCTGGGATTACAGGCATGCAACACCACGCCTGGCTTATTTCATAATTATAGTAGAGATGGGGTTTCTCCATGTTGGTCAGGCTGCTTTTGAACTCCTGACCTCAGGTGATCCACCCGCCTTGGCCTCCCAAAGTGCTGGGATTACTTGCCTCAAACCTTTGGCCTGGGCTTCTTGATTATATACTTGATATGGTTTGGCTGTGTCCCCACCAAAATCTCATTCTGAATTGCAGTTGCCATAATCCCCACATGTCATAGGAGGGACCACATGGAGATAATTGAGTCGTGGGATCAGTTTGCCCATCCTGTTCTCATGGTAGTGAGTGAGTTTTCACAAGATCTGATGGTTTTATAAGGGGCTCACCCCTTTGCTGGACACTCATTTCTCTCTCCTGCCACCATGTGAAGAAGGATGTGTTTGCTTCCCTTTCCAGCATAATTGTAAGTTTCCTGAGGCCTCCCCAGCCTTGTGGAACGGTGAGTCAATTAAATCTCTTTCCTTTATAAATTACCCAGTCTCAGGCAGTTCTTTATAGCAGTGTGAGAACAGACTAATAAAATACTACCACTGTGAAAACGCTCAGAGATGTTGCCATTTTAGAAACAAGAGTATAGAAGGCTAGAACAAGTTAAGAAACTGAGCTATTTGCAAACAAGGAATATGTTGTTTTCTTTTTTTATGCTTAAGACTGAGGCATTTCTTGATGAATGAATCAACACATCAGTGAATGAATACATGAATAAATAAAACAGAAAAGGGGCTTAATTTTGAGTAGATGAGAGTATCTTCAGAAAGTTTATGGATAACGGGACATTCCTTAAATTCTTATATGATGTACCATTCAAGAAGCTTCATTCTATTGCAGACCTTTCTGTTTTTAGCATATAGAATATAGTGCTAATATAACACTTACTTCTAAATCAAGAATGATCTTATTTAAAATGTCTATGATTTAATTAGGAAATATGCTAATGATGATTTCAAGGAATCTGCTACATCATCCCTTCATATTCACACTACTAAAGAGATATATAGTTTGTATTTGATCAGTAATACTAGGATACATTATAGAGTCTGTAGAGCTTCTTGCTGTATGGTGAAATTCTCAAAGTGTGAAGGTATATCTTATTTTTATTTACATCCTCAGTGCTGAAGAGTTTCCCTAACATATAGTTGTTCTTCAACAATATTTATTGGATAAAAAAAGAATATTAAGATTCAATAAGCTCTGGATAGCAAGGCAAAATTGCCTTAAGAATATCCAATACACTACAAACTGTAAAGTTGTTTTTCTTTTAAAATGCACTACATAAATATGTCATTCAAACATTTAAAAATATATAATTAAACACATTAACATATTGGCTTGTCATGTTACAAGATTATAATAGGTAATATGTATTTTTTAAATTCCCCTCTGTAAATATTGTTCCTTAAGACTGCTCCCACTCAAGGAAACATGCATCCTGAGAATAGTACTTTTTTTTGGTCAATCATCTTTTTCTCTGCTTTAAGATAAAGCCAGTAAATATTTTCCTGTTTTCTACAAGGAATAAGAATGAAAGATTCTATATTTAGGTAATTTCCCCTATCTCCAATTGATCTTTATAATTCACATTTTACAAGTGCACCCCTCTTTTCATCAACATTTTGAAACATTTGAAACAGTTCTTTTTCCTTCCACCTAGAAATTAGTGGAGTACACAATCCTATTTTCTGATTCATAATATTATGACTTTCTTTGAAAAAGTCACCATTTTTTCTGAGTCAGCATTTCAAACAGGTGTACCCTTTTTTCTTTTTAAATAGTATTTGTCTTTTTAGTGCAAATTGTTTTAAATAGGGTTTTTTCTAATATTATAGTTCTTTCCTACTAGATAGAACCAGAAGTTATATCCCCACATCCTAAGGATGGGTTACTAATTTCAAATGCTTTGCTAAACAGAAAATTTTCACATTTAAGTTCCATGCTACCTGGTGGAAATGACAAGAAAGGTTATATTTTGAGCCTAATATTCAAATCAGTAACTCGGCTTTTCACATATCTCTTGCTAATGATGCTGTTTATTTTATTAGACGAATTATATAATGCCATAAAACAGGGGACCTTCTCCAGGTATTTTCTCCTATGGGAGACTAGCTGATAAAGTATGGTATAACCATAACATTGTGGTTTCTTCCAAGATAAGGGTTTCCACAGTGTTTTTCACATAAAGAGTCCTAGAGCTAAGTTTCACTTAATAAAATAAGAGGCAACTTAAAATGATGGTTAAAAAAAAGATACTCATTACAACATGATGTAGTGATGTAGTGGTGGAAAATAAATAGAATGCAAAGAAATGAAAAATAGAAACTTATATATAAGCTTCTTAAAGTGTTGGGACTTAGGCAATACCATACTTGGGCTCAGATACCTGTTGATTGATTAACTGGGTAATGGTGTGTTCTCCTGGACTTTGTAAAAACATTGTAAATATTGACATATATTTGAAAATACATTATAAGCTATATTAAATTTTAGAATATGTAAGGGGCAGCAGTAGTATCTGAAGTCAATATCTTTCACTATTTTTTTTTTTTTCTGAAGGTTCATCCTATAGTTAATGCTTTGGTAAGTAAAGAGGATACAGTACTGGGTCCTGCAACCTAGCTCTGAGTTCTCAGCTAAGGTAAGTAGTTAGTGCTTCATGTAATCAGTGGTATAGAATAACTTCACTCCAGTTACTTATTAGGGAGGATCGTCTTAAACTCTGCCTCTCAATATTATAGATATATATATGAGAAATGTATCCATTATTTAAGTGGCATTTTCTGAAGAATATGCTGCTCATCATTCCTCAAGTGCAGTCATTTCTGCTAAAATATTTTTTGAAAACATGAATTTGTTCCAACACGATTGATATATTAGGGAACAATTTGAATATAAAGAGGATTTTGCATTGTATTAAGCTCTGAAAATCTCTCGGTAAACACAGAAAACTGCACCCAGCATAATAATATAAAACACACACACACACACACACACACACACACACACACACACAAAACAATTCACTGGAAACCTCACTTTATTATGTATGTTATCCTACAAGTTTATGTCTTGCCATTGTTTTGTATTTGAGGATATTTTTATACTAAATAAAAAGTAAACATCCAAAATGTATAAATATTTTGGTTCAAAAATACCAAGTAGTGCATAAAAAGAAAAAATTTAAGTACTGAGGAAAAGCTTGAATAATGAAGTGCTTCACATTGAGAGAACATGATGTTTCCCAAGCAACAGACAGAAATCCACTCTGTGACCCCTTAGAGATAATAAGCAAGAAAAAACAAATGTATATGACTCTGTGATATAATAAAAATCTATTTGGTCTTTGTTTTTGGTTCCTGGAACAGGGCTCCTATAATCTGTGAAATTTCCTGGGAAACTGGAGTGTCATTTTAAAACACCTAAGTTTATGCTAATGAATTGATTTAGTGTGGGGCTCCTAGGTAGCCTCAGGATGGGGCAGGTCACCAGAAGGACCAAGTAATTTGAGGGGTGGAAATTCTACCCTAACCATTGGCCTCTGAGGAGGTGAGCAGGAGACTGGTGATTTGACCCGATGAATCTTCTTGAACCATGTGATTCAGGGAGCTTCTTCTGGGTGGGTGAACACTTCATGGTGCTGTGAGGGTGGCATGCCTGAACAGGGCATGGTAGTTGCACAGCATCCCCTCCTCAATACCTTGCCCTGTGCATCTCTTCTATTTCACTGTTTCTGAGTTTTATCCTTTAAAATAAAATAGTAAACATAAGTAGTGTTTTTCTGACTTCTGTGAGTTGTTCTAGCAAATTGTCCAACCTGAGAAGGATGTCATAGGAACCCCTGAATTATAGCCAGTCAGTCAAAAGTACAGGTGGCCCCCAGGGGTTGCAGCTGGCATCTGAAATGAAAGCAGTTTGAGGAACCAAGCCCTTTAATCTGTGGGATATGATGCCAAATTCAGGTAGATAATATCAAAATTAAATTTGAGTTGTTGGGCATCCAGTTGGTGTGAGAGACTCAGAGAATTGGTTGTTGGTGTACAAAAACTTTACACAGGCAGGAACCACTTGAAGTACTGCTGCAAAGTCAGTAACAACAAGGCCACAATAAATTAAGGAAATGAAAAGATTGTTGAGCATATAAATTCTAGTCTCAACAGTGAAAAATATTGGGAACAATTGTCTCATAAAAATAAAAGACTATCTATAGATAACATCCTTAAACAGAATAGTCTGGGTGTGGTGGCTCATGCCTGTAATGCCAGCACTCTGGGAGGCAGAGACGGGTGGATCACCTGAGGTTGGGAGTTCAAGACCAGCCTGACCAACATGGAGAAACCCCGTCTCTACTTAAAAAAAAATACCAAAAAAAAAAAAAAAATTAACCGGGCAAGGTGGTGCATGCCTGTAATCCCAGCTACTGGGGAGGCTGAGGCAGGAGAATCACTTGAACCCAGGAGGCAGAGGTTGCGGTGAGCTGAGATCGCAGCATTGCACTCCGGCCTGGGCAACAAGAGCGAGACTCCGTCTCAAAAAAAAAAAAAAAGAAAAATAAAAAAAAAAACAGAGTTTGCTAAATCCTGCAGAAGTGACTTCTTTTATCTCGGAAAATGAGTCCTAGGGGTGGCTATTTTAGTGTTGTCAAACATCTCTACAATTCTCAAAGCCTTCAGCTGTCTGGATAAGCTATGGGTGCACATGAGACATCCACAACATAATTCCCAGCAATGATTCACAACTTACTTGAAGAAGTCTATATGCCAAATCAGATTTACAATTTTTATGAAATATGTGTCTATTATAAATTTAAACCTTAAAAACCTGCACCTGAAATGCAGAAAAACATGCCCAGGATTTAAGGCTGTGAAAGATTTTTAACTGCAGCATTTGGAAACAATGCCAAACCCAGGACAATGAGCCGTGCTGATATGATTTGCCTGTGTGCCCACACAAATCTCACCTTGAATTGTAATAATCCTCGCATGTCAAGGGTGGGGCCAGGTGGAGATAATTGAATCACGAGGGCAGTTTCCCCCATACTATTCTCAGGGTAGTGAGTAAGTTTCACAAGATCTGCTGATTTTATAAATGAGAGTTCCCCTGAACAAACCCTCTGTTACCTGCCACCATGTAATATGTATCTTGCCCCTCCTTGCCTTCCACCATGATTGTGAGGCCTCCTCAGCTATGTGGAACTGTGAGTTCATTAAACCTCTTTTCTTTATAATTACCCAGTCTCAGGTATTCCTTTATAGGCAGCCTGAGAACAGACTAATACACACACCTATCCACATCTCCTGCTACAACTTTGCATTTGCTTTCAGATAATCACCCCACACAACCTCACAATAACTCACAAGCTGCAATCCTTCTGAAACCTACTTCCACAAGGTAAAGTGCCATATTATAGCATTTATGTGAAATTGTGCTACCACATATATTAGATTTCTATTATTTATTTTTTATGTGTCACTGAAAAAGTGTTTGAATATTGTGCCCAAACCTCATTTTTCTCATGAGCCCTCAGGTTTTTCTTATACAATTTTGGAAAAAAAAAATATGGTGTTTTTTAGAATACTATAAGTTGTGTTATAGAAGAACTAACTAAACATTAAAATCTATCATCAGGGGAAGCCAGTCAATGAGAGAGCTGTATGATGGGGCCAAATCATTTTTATTTCCCCAAAATTGCTTTCCCTATACTGGCCATGGCATTAGGAAATCAACCTACAGTGAAGGACATTATAAGAAACTATCCTCTGAAATTCATTATTCTATTCACTGTAAGAATGTTGTTGAATATGATGCTTACCACATTACACAAATCAAATTTTCAATTTTGATGAAATGGGTGTCTATTATAAATTTAAACCTTAAAAACCTACACCCGAAATGCAGAAAAACATGCCCAGGATTTAGGGTGGTGAAATAGTCTTCTTTTTTTTTTTTGAACTAGAAATACCATTTGACCCAGCCATCGCATTACTGGGTATATACCCAAAGGATTATAAATCATGCTGCTATAAAGACACATGCACATGTATGTTTATTGCAGCACTATTCACAATAGCAAAGACTTGAAACCAACCCAAATGTCCAATAATGATAGGCTGGATTAAGAAAATGTGGCACATATACACCATGGAATACTATGCAGCCACAAAAAAAGATGAGTTCATGTCCTTTGCAGGGACATGGATGAAGCTGGAAACCATCATTCTCAGCAAACTATCGCAAGGACAAAAATCAAACACCACATGTTCTCACTCATAGGTGGGAATTGAACAATGACAACACTTGACCACAGGAAAGGAAACATCACACACCGGGGCCTGTTGTGGGGTGGGGGGAGTGGGGAGGGATAGCATAGGAGATATACCTAATGTAAATGACGAGTTAATGGGTGCAGCATACCAACATGACACATGTATACTAACTAACTAACCTGTACGTTGTGCTATGTAACTAACCTGCACGTTGTGCACATGTACCCTAGAACTTAAAGTATAATAACAAAAAAAAAAGATTCTTAACTGTGACATTTGGAAACAATGTCAAACCCAGGACAATGAGCCATACACAGTATTCTCTTTATGATGGCCCACACAAGAAGTTTCACTCTGGCCTTAGTCCCAGGAAGAGTTATGCATCTCCTGAAAAATTAGTTTGCTTTTATTTTTATGTACACTGAGACTTTTAAAGGAGTATCTTAACAGAGTTCAATGAATATTTCTTAAATAAATGAATAAATGTGTTTTTAAACTGTTTCTTTTTCCACTTTGGAGAAAATGCTTAGAGCCAAATTTATGAGCCTCTTCTAGGAAGTGTACAGAAACCAGAAACATTATTAAAATATTCTGAGCTGAACTCACAATAATAGCTTCTTACTTGTGCATTTCAACTATAACTGATCACTGGCTTAAACCTTACTTGAAAATTTGTATAATTGCTGACAGTCTAAATAAGTAGCACTCTGACTAATGAATGAGTTATAAGTCTATTGAAAAATCCTATTTTCATAGATTCTGCAGATGCAGCACCAGAAGTCAGCTAGAGGAGACTAACTAATGTTAACAATCCTTCTGAGGTACTTCTTAATTGACATTTTATTGTATTACAATTACGCAAACTGTGCCAAGCTGACTAGGACTAAGACAAAGGAGACAGTAGTTTATATATTTATTTACTTTTGCTCCTAAATGATTCCTGAGAAGGAGTAATAAAATCCTAAACCAGAGTATACAGGCTTTGAAATGATATATGTAAAATCCAATAAGGCCAGTGAGAATCATGTGTACCTTCTCTCTCCTTCTCGTCCCCATATACAATAACTAGGCCCAATAACTTGAAAAGGGTATAATCAAAGTATTTAAAATAATGGAGTATATTGTGACTGAGAGTAGCAATTAATGGGAAAAAATAGTAGTTATTGGTCTGAAACTTTTACTAATAACTCTTCTTGTATAATCTCTGTCCAGCAACTTAAATACCCAAGAGAAGCATTCTAATGCCTTGGTCACAAGTTTCTCTTTTTATTTATTTATTTACTTTTTTATTATACTTTAAGTTTTAGGGTACATGTGCACAATGTGCAGGTTAGTTACATACATATACATATGCCATGTTGGTGTGCTGCACCCATTAACTCGTCATTTAACATTAGGTATATCTCCTAATGCTGTCCCTTCCCCCTCCTCCCACCCCAAAACAGGCCCCGGTGTGTGATGTTCCCCTTCCTGTGTCCATGTGTTCTCATTGTTCAATTCACACCTATGAGTGAGAACATGCAGTGTTTGGTTTTTTGTCCTTGCAATAGTTTGCTGAGAATGATGGTTTCCAGCTTCATCCATGTCCCTGCAAAGGACATGAACTCATCATTTTTTATGGCTGCATAGTATTCCATGGTGTACATGTGCCACATTTTCTTAATCCAGTCTATCATTGTTGGACATTTGGCTTGGTTCCAAGTCTTTGCTATTGTGAATAGTGTCACAATAAACATATGTGTGCATGTGTCTTTATAGCAGCATGATTCATAATCCTTTGGGTATATACCCAGTAATGGGATGGCTGGGTCAAATGGTATTTCTAGTTCTAGATCCCTGAGGAATCACCACACTGACTTCCACAATGGTTGAACTAGTTTACAGTCGCACCAACAGTGTAAAAGTGTTCCTATTTCTCCACATCCTCTCCAGCACCTGTTGTTTCTAGGTGCCATTCTAACTGCTGTGAGATGGTATCTCATTGTGGTTTTGATTTGCATTTGTCTGATGGCCAGTGATGATGAGCGTTTTTTCATGTGTCTTTTGGCTGCATAAATGTCTTCTTTTGAGAAGTGTCTGTTCATATCCTTCGCCTTGTTGCAAAAATTTTCTCCCATTCTGTCGGTTGCCTGTTCACTCTGATGGTAATTTCTTTTGCTGTGCAGAAGCTCTTTAGTTTAATTAGATCCCATTTGTCAATTTTGGCTTTTGTTGCCATTGCTTTTGGTGTTTTAGACATGAAGTCCTTGCCCATGCCTATGTCCTGAATGGTATTGCCTAGGTTTTCTTCTAGGGTTTTTATGGTTTTAGGTCTAACAGTCAAGTCTTTAATCCATCTTGAATTAATTTTTGTATAAGGTGTAAGGAAGGGATCCAGTTTCAGCTTTCTACATATGGCTAGCCAGTTTTTCCAGCACGATTTGTTAAATAGGGAATCCTTTCCCCATTTCTTGTTTTTGTCAGGTTTGTCAAAGATCAGATAGTTGTAGATACGTGGCATTATTTCTGAGGGCTCTGTTCTGTTCCATTGGTCTACATCTCTGTTTTGGTACCAGTACCATGCTGTTTTGGTTACTGTAGCCTTCTAGTATAGTTTGAAATCAGGTAGGGTTATGCCTCCAGCTTTGTTCTTTTGGCTTAGGATTGACTTGGCGATGCGGGCTCTTTTTTGGTTCCATATGAACTTTAAAGTAGTTTTTTCCAATTCTGTGAAGAAAGTCATCGGTAGCTTGATGGGGATGGCATTGAATCTATAAATTACCTTGGGCAGTATGGCCATTTTCACGATATTGATTCTTCCTACCCATGAGCATGGAAAGTTCTTCCATTTGTTTGTATCCTCTTTTATTTCATTGAGCAGTGGTTTGTAGTTATCCTTGAAGAGGTCCTTCACATCCCTTGTAAGTTGGATTCCTAGGTATTTTATTCTCTTTGAAGCAATTGTGAATGGGAGTTCACTCATGATTTGGCTCTCTGTTGTTGGTGTATAAGAATGCTTGTGATTCTTGCACATTGATTTTGTATCCTGAGACTTTGCTGAAGTTGCCTATCAGCTTAAGGAGATTTTGGGCTGAGACAATGGGGTTTTCTAGATATACAATCATGTCATCTGCAAACAGGGACAATTTGACTTCCTCTTTTCCTGATTGAATACTCTTTATTTCCTTCTCCTGCCTAATTGCCCTGGCCAGAACTTCCAACACTATGTTGAATAGGAGTTGTGAGAGATGGCATCCCTCTCTTGTGCCAGTTTTCAAAGGGAACGCTTCCAGTTTTTGCCCATTCAGTATGATATTGGCTGTGGGTTTGTCATAGATAGCTCTTATTATTTTGAGATACGTCCCATCAATACCTAATTTATTGAGAGTTTTTAGCAGGAAGAATTGTTGAATTTTGTCAAAGGCCTTTTCTGCATCTATTGAGACAATCATATGGTTTTTGTCGTTGGTTCTGTTTATATGCTGGATTACATTTATTGATTTGCATATGTTGAACCAGCCTTGCATCCCAGGGGTGAAGCCCACTTGATCATGGTGGATAAGCTTTTTGATGTGCTGCTGGATTCGGTTTGCCAGTATTTTATTGAGGATTTTTGTATTGATGTTCATCAGGGATATTGGTCTAAAATTCTCTTTTTTTGTTTTGTCTCTGCCAGGCTTTGGTATCAGGATGACGCTGGCCTCATAAAACGAGTTAGGGAGGATTCCCTCTTTTTCTATTGATTGGAATAGTTTCAGAAGGAATGGTACCAGCTCCTCCTTGTACCTCTGGTAGAATTCGGCTATGAATCCATCTGGTCCTGGACTTTTTTTGGTTGGTAAGTTATTAATTATTGCCTCAATTTCAGAGCCTGTTATTGATCTATTCAGAGATTCAACTTCTTCCTGGTTTAGTCTTGGGAGGGTGTATGTGTTGAGGAAGTTATCCATTTCTTCTAGATTTTCTAGTTTATTTGCATAGAGGTGTTTATAGTATTCTCTAATGGTAGTTTGTATTTCTGTGGGATTGGTGGTGATATCCCCTTTATCATTTTTTATTGTGTCTATTTTATTCTTCTCTCTTTTTTTCTTTATGATAGACCGCTAGCAGTTTCTCTTAAAGTAAAAACTTTCTTACTGTATTTTATGACATATTTTACTGTGCATACATAGGAACTAGATGAGACCCACTAAAGAGATTATCTCTGTAACTTTTACTACTGTTGACTGAGAACACTTTATTCCATTTTAAATCATTTGAGAAAACTGTAAACATTTTCTGAGCCTTAGGCCTGGCCTTACCCCTGATCTTTAAAACTGATAGACAACAACCACAAAAGTTTCAGTAGAAGCCATTTAAAAGAAAAAAAAGCCTCTCATTATCTTGAAACAGAAGGTGTATTAGTCTGTTCTCACACTGCTATAAAGAACTGCCCCAGACTGGGTAATTTATAAAGGGAAGAAGTTCAATGGACTCACAGTTTCACCTGGCTGGGGAGGCTTCAGGAAACTTACAGTCATAGTGGAAGGGGAAGCAAACACATCCTTCTTCACAAGGTGGCAGGAGAGAGAAGTGCCAAGCAAAAGGGGGAAAAGCCCCTTATAAAACTGTCAGACCTTGTGAGAGCTCACTCACTGTCATGAGAACAGCATGAGAGTAACCATCCCTATGATTAAATTAACTCCCACTGGGTCCCTCCCATGACACATGGGGATTATGGGCACTACAATGAAGGTGAGATTTGGGTGGGGACACAGAGCCAAACCATATCATTCTGCCTTGAGCAACTACACCCCTGTGGCTTTGCAGGGTACAGCTTCCCTCCTGGCTGTCTTCACAGCCTGGCATTGAGTGTCTGTGGCTTGTTGTCAGTGGTGCATGGTGCAAGTTGTGGTGCATGGTGCAAAAGGGGGAAAAGCCCTTTATAAAACTGTCAGACCTTGTGAGAACTCACTCACTGTCATGAGAACAGCATGAGGGTAACCATCCCCATGATTAAATTACCTCCCACTGGGTCCCTCCCATGACACATGGGGATTATGGGCATTACAATCAACGTGAGATTTGGGTGGGGACACAGAGTCAAACCATATCATTCTGCCTTAAGCAACTACAGCCCTGTGGCTTTGCAGGGTACAGCTTCCCTCCTGGCTGCCTTCACAGCCTGGCATTGAGTGTCTGTGAGTGTCTGTGGTGCATGGTGCAAGTTGTCAGTGGATCTACTATTCAGGGGTCTGGAGGATGGTAGCCCTCTTCTCACAGCCCCACTAGGCAGTGCCCCATTGGGACTCTGTTTGGGGGCTCTCACCCCACATTTTCATTCCACTCTGTCCTAGCAGAGGTTCTCCATGAGAACTCCACCCCTACAGCACTCCTCTGCCTGGACATCCAGGTGTTTCCATACCTCCTCTGAAATCTAGAGGTTTCCAAACTTTAATTCTTGATGTCCCTAAAAACCAAATTGATTATTTAAAAAGACAAGATATAGTTATCTACATGATTTAGCTAATACAGTTGCACTAGTTATTTTTCCCAGATTCCCACTGAATGAGTCTTTAATGCGTTGGAATAAAATTATATTCAATACAAAATCTACCTTTCAAAATCAGGTAAGAAAACATACAAAACTATTCAAGTGACCAAAGTTAAGATAAATGCAGGAATGAATAATTAAAATCAAGATTTTATCACAATGTTTTAGAGTTAATCAATATTCACAGAAATGTGACACTAGTGATACATCACAAGCATATCATGAGAGCTGAGACTTTCTTCAAATAATAATGACTAACACTGTATTTTTACTATGTATCAGTTCACCAGAGAAGCAATGTAATGAATTACTTTGTTTAATGAAGATGAAATTATTTTTCACATTTTGCCAATGAGGAAACTGAGAAACGGTTGGTACGGACAAAGGGCAGTACTCTCGTCCATGTCTACCTTCAGCTCAAGCTTTTGTTCTTAACTACTTTGCTCTAATACATACTGCATTAATGCTGGTAAGTTTGGATGGCCCATTTAAAATTTTGTCTGATTCTATAGTTATCAGTAACACAGAATACTAAATTCCTTTATCTCAGTTATAGTTACATTCAACAAATATAATATAACTAAAATATATTTTAAGTAGATTGAACTTATATTGAAAATTAAAACTGTTGTGGGGTGGGGGAGGGGGGAGGGATAGCATTAGGAGATATACCTAATGCTAAATGACGAGTTAATGGGTGCAGCTCACCAGCATGGCACATGTATACATATGTAACTAACCTGCACATTGTGCACATGTACCCTAAAACTTAAAGTATAATAAAATAAAATAATCTGAAAAAAAACAAAAAAAAAGAAAAGAAACTTAAAAATATTGAAAAATGTTGATTGTTGATAGCAATAGTAATAAAAACATCCACAATATTGAGGATGAAAGCCTGAAAATTAACTTATTTCAGTGATAATTTTTACTCTGTAAAGGCTGTGTAGTATAGTTAGGGATCAAAAAATTAACTTTAAGCATATTACAATTAACCATAGCAATCCAATTTTATCAATCAAAATCAAATCCATGTATGTTAATTAACAATCTGAATACTATCATTTTTCTTTCATTCAGTAGCATCCTGTTTGTATCTTGGTGAAACAGAATAAAAGCTTCTGGCAAGATATATTAGATTTTAAAATATTTGGATAATTAACATGCTTTCATATAAAGAGTATACATTAATTAGTGTTTTACTTCCCTAAAACACATTGATAGAATAGTTTATCATTGTATTTAATACTGTTATTATTTTCATTACTAACATTCATTGAATGTTTACTAAGAACTAGTGATTGTGATAGGCATTTTATTCACATTATCTCATTTATTGCACACAGCCCTAACATAAATACCACTATTACCTCCATTTTGAAGATAACTATAGCTAGTATTTACTGTGGACCACCATTAGCAATCTCAGTTCCAGTGCTCCAAAGAAATATTTTAAAATGAGTGGAACATTGTCCTTGTTCTTATGCAGGTTGTAGTCTGGTAAATTTATCAAAATTTTCTTGAAAAAATCCTGTGCATCATTATATGCCATGTTGAATTGAATCTTTGCTCTACTTTTCTAGCTAAAATATATCAGGTAGAATTATCTGAGTGTAATTATTTATATCAGAATATGTCACAGCATTTAGAGATTTTCTAATTTGTACTTAATTGCTATGATAAGAAAAATATTAATACGTAACCAAAGCAATTATTTTGGTCTCAAATATTAAAAATGTGATGGTATTCCGCTGAAGTGTTGGAACTTTTCTTGTTATTTTGAATAAATATTTCTGTTATTCAAAGAAATTCTAACAGTTGTTTTCTGACTTCTAATGAATATGTTGCAAATGTTCTTAGTGATATACATCAAATGATTAAAGGTATAGTTTTCCAGAAAGCAGAGTTCATTACTGTATATCTCTTATCCTGGTAAGACAAATCTGTACTTGATTTTGGTGTTAACAAAAAGAAGCAAATATTTTTTACTCTTTAATGATGTTTTATGCTTAAACTACATAGAGATTTTCTTGGTATTCATTTGGAACATTGTTTCCTTGTCTCATTAATACTTGTAGTTTTCAATTGGTAGATAAGAGGAATTTTTGTAGTTAATTTTACTCAGATGGAGAGACAAAAGCTCAAAGAAGGTAGAATCATACAAATCTGAGACCAAGTCTATTAAATAAAAGTGAAGATTATTGCCAGGAAAAATATTTTAATAATAATAATTTACCTAGAATGAAAAATTTGGAATCAAAGGTAGAACTCAGCATTCATTTATCCTTTTGTATATGGAACAATTTTAGAAGTGGGGTAGGGAAGAGGTTCAGAGTAGATTTTCAGAAGAAACAAAAGATGCACACTTATTATCTTGTCACTTCTTTATAATACATTATTATCCCTAATTTATAAAAACATAAAGAAAATAAAATGAAGAAGAGGTTTAAAAAGAAGAGGAAGAATTTGCCTTCAAAGTAGGACAAAGAAACTAAGCATAAGAGAAACTACTTTTCAGTACACTATGTCTGAAACAAATTTGTTACAACTAAAAGAGGACACCAATATTTTAATTTTAATGTATCCAGATGGATAAGAGAAACTCAGTAAAATTGCTTTCAACAAACAAATTAAAAAAAAAAACCCAAAGGTATCCAGCATTTCTACACTATTTATAAGTGCAATGGCTGCTGCTTCTGAAAAGACTTACAGAATCTGCTTTTATGTTATTTTTTGATGTCATTTATAGTGTAGCCATTGTTAGACAATGACTGATTCAATTAAAGCTAATGCTTTTGATTTCTTAAAGCTCTGAATAGTATTTTTAATTGCAATTGATTACATACTTATTTAATAAAAGGGAAACTGTTGAACTGACCGAATAATGGTATCCCAGAATGAGGATTTACATCAGTTATTGGTTGAAACATTTAAAACTTCAGAGTAATATTATAATTTTCCTATTATTCAAACTTATAAATGAAACAAAAAGTGATTTTTTTCTATGCTTTCAGAAACAGGAATTCACCAGAACTACTTTACTGAATAGGTGAGTGAATTATTCATTAAGATGATCAGTAGGACTGGGTCTTTTTTAACTCTAAGGAGATATGTATATTACTTCACACAGAAGCAATTATTAATTTACTGATAGCATAGATAACTTCATACTTTAATTTTTGCAATTTTAATATACATGTTTATACTATTTTATTTAATTTTAATAAAAGCAAATAAAGTATTGAATATGTAATCATTTTGAGATAACTCTGGAGTAGTAAATTACTATAATTTCACTTTTCTTTGCCTTTTATTTCTTTATTAGTTTGTTTTCACGGTGCTGATAAAGACATACCCAAGGCTGGGTAATTTATAAGGAAGAAGAGGTTTAATGGACTCACAGTTCCACGTAGCTGGGGAGGCCTTACAATCACGGTGGAAGGTGAAAGGCACAACTTACATGGCTGCAGGCAACAGAGAGAATGAAAGCCAAGTTAAAGTGGTTTCCCCTTACAAAGCCATGAGTTGTCGTGAGACTTATTCACTACCATGAGAACAGTATGGGTGAAACGGCCCCCATGATTCAGTTATCTCCCACTGGCTCCCTTCCACAACATGTGGAAAATACCGGAGCTACAATTCAAGATGAGATTTGTGTGGGGACACAGCCAAACCATGTCAAATTATTTCTTGCAACTTCCAAAAAAAAATTTTTTTTTAGAAATAATTCATTATTTTTTGTTTCATTAGATATTCTTGTAAAGTCTTGATGGTAAATCTGAATGATCAAAAACTAAGAGCCAAATAGTGGGTTGTTGTTACATATGGTTAAAGTTCATTTAGCCCTAAAATAATGGGAACAAGAGAATAATGACCAGAGGAGGGACATTGGGGAGGTGATGAGTATAGTAGGAATCTCTAGCAGTCTTGCAGACATCATGTGAATTTTTCAAATCTGATACTCTCTTGTTTTAAGATAGCCAGATGAAAAGTCGATTCAATGGAGAAAAAAGAGGGGTTTGGCATGAAGTTTCCTAAGTACAGCCAGGCCAAAGAATGTAATGTATAGAAAAAGCCACAGTAGAGTTTATGGGAATTAAAGCAAGGGAAACCAACTAAATTAATCTGTAGTCTTCATTCGACAATCTCACATACCTGTTTCCCTCACATATATACTCATTCTTAAATTCACTGTTATGACCACATTAGAACTCAACTTCAAATTTGTGTTATTAATCTTTTTTATAAAGCATTTCCAAGTAGATTTACTTAACATTATCTAATATCTTGCAAGTGTATGGCAGTATTATTTTCAGCAATATGGAAAATGATGAAAATACTGGTTACTGCAATAGATTATGTTGCAGAAAATAATGCAAGAGCCTGTGAAATTCCTTGGACATGTGACACATTATACATAAACCAGTCAATGATCTAGGGAATTATAGTGAACTCTGGTCATTCAGGTGAAGTAACATAAGAGCACAAAACATTTCTAGTTTCAATCCTGCTTCGTATCATTTACACTCACCAAGCATCAATTTCCTCTTCCATAAAATTTAGATACTAAAATTTTTGTCTTCCATAGGGCAGTTATGAGGATCTCATAAAACAATAAATACATAGGAGTATTCTTCAAAGAACAATGTATTACAGGGATGCTAGTTATTTCTGTTAACCCAGCAACTCGAATTACCCAGGAATCCTGATTAATGCTATGGCATATAAATTGGGAGACTCTCAAGATTCTCTAAAATCAGTTTTAAAATGTAAAATGTATGCTTTACTGGAACACATTTATCTCAAGAAAGAGCATCATAGCAATTTGAATATGTAATCTAGTATTAAAAAAACATTTGTAGCAAATTATATCCACTGTAAAGAAAATTATTACAGGACACACATGATCTGGACTTAGTGCTTAAGGAGGTAATAGATAAGTAAGGAGATATGAAGAATAGAAAAAAAATTCTACTTTTATTTTTGAATACGTAGCTGTATTTCTGAGGTTGAGTCTGAGTTAACCTACCCGTATAACCGTTTCTTCTATCTCTTCTTTAACTAACATAGATCATCCTCTCAGTGCATCTTTTAGCCTAGAGAAAAGCTAGGTTGGGATTTATGGAAGGAACAAGAACAAAATAAAACCATATCTGCTCTATTTTTCCATATCAATTGATTTCAGAGTGTACTTCATTCTCAACAAATGAAAAAAAAAAAAAACAAGAATTTCCCTTCATGGTTTATTCTACTGGTTTAGAGGTAACTGTAATTAACTTTCTGCAAACTCCTCACTTAGCAAAAATGCATTACCTTTCAAATTATTTGTATTGTAGATACAATACAAATCACTACTAAAAACTGATCTTGATTGATAGACCCCATAGTTGGATATTTGGAAATAAAATGGAAACTGAGACACAGGAGAGACATATCTGAAATTAAAATGTAAGAAGTATCAGAAAATACATTGCTAATGAAGTAAGGTTTCCTAATGGTGTTTTTTCATTAAAAATACTCTTCCTGTTTTACATGAACCATAGCTTGGGTTTGCTAAAAGACGCCATGATAAATAATTAAACATGGAAATCCTGAATATCCACACTAAGGAAAATAAAACTTCCACATGCAATAACTAATGAGTATTGTAAATGTAAAATCAAGGCCCTAGTGTAAATTTTATAACAAATACATGAAATAATATAGTGAAATTTTAATTTATGTAATTATTATATATAAGCTGTATTGTTATATATATTTTATATACATGTAATGAAAGTCATGGTTAAATAATCTAGTATATTTAAGTTTATGGATTTAAATTTAAATTTATTAAATTTAATTGTATTAAATTTAATTTTTATTAATTTAAATTTAAATGGCTTAAAACACATTGAGTTGTTTTATATATTTTATACAACAAATATATCTAAACTAAATATTAAAAATTATTAAATGCTTTAATGGACAAATAAATGACAGATAATTTAAAATGTTATTTGTTTTTCTTTCAAGATGGCACATTAGAGGCTTTTAGCTTGCCTCAGCCACTTGGAAATACCAAGAGAGTTCATAAAGATAAACACTGTGTGCTTTAATACAAGAAGGGAAATGGGAGTACACCAGAGTCATGAAGGACACCCCAAATCCTGGGGATGAGATCATGGGAAAACAGCCCCTCTGTCAATGTCTGGCTGATAAAAGTGAGTGAAGCCCCAGTACATGAGAGAGGCAGAAGCCTCCCTCTTTGACTCACCTTTCCTCGGGGGAATCTGAGCAACCTAGGCCAAAGAGCACCCTTTTTTTTCTCCCAAGTCTTGGAACTAACTTGGCGAGAGGCATAAAGACGCTGTGAGAGAAAGACACTAGGAAAAGCTGCACTCATTTTCCAAGACCCAGAGCTGAGATCAGGATGGCATTTTTAATCCGGGCTCATGCAAAGTCAGCCATTCTGTGGCAACCCAGAAGCGTGGCCGTGTAGACATTTTAGTTTCAGGCCAGAGTTTGGAGGGCCTGCTCTGGTGTAGGGTAGGGGCCTCCTCAGCCAGAACTGTGGAAACTGCCTCAGCATCAGGTGCTGGAATTGTGCTCTCCCCTATTGCATACTTTGAGTGGGAGGAGAGCTGCTACAGCTGCAATTTCTCCTGGACAATGATAATTACATCCAGGGCCAGCTTGGCAACCTGGAACCAATATGTGTGTGTCATTGCTGGGTATCCCATCCTGCTCCCCTGAACTTGCGGTACAGAAAAACCCTCTCTGCTTCACCCACAAACAGAAATCCAGACTCTCAAATCACCCACTTTCCTGGACCAACAGCCTGAGCTGCCCCGCTTTTCATGGACATAGATTGCGGTTCAGCGAGCCCCTCTCTGCTTCAAAACTAGGTACATCTCCAGGTATGCATAGCACCTGCTCACCTGGATCAGCAACCTGAATTGCTCCACCCTTCCGGTGCATAGATTGTGGTGCAGCAGGGCCCTCTGGGCTCTGTGCCCAGGCACATCTCCAGGCATTCAGAGCACCTACTTGTTTGGTTCAGCATCCTGAGTTTCTCCTCACTTCTGTGCAGAGATCTTGGTGCAGAGAATCCTCTCAACTTCATGTCCAAGCAAATCTCCAGGCATATGGAACATCCACCCTCCTGGAGTAGGAGTTTAGGATACCCCTATCCTTGTGCAGATATCTTGAGATTAGGGAGGTTTCCCAGCTTCATACCTAGACACATCTCTGGGCACTTGGTGGCTGCCCAGTGGATTCTCATTCAGTACTAGTGCTTGTCCCTCCCATCAGGACACCAGTACGTGGACCTGCCCAGTCTGACCCCATCAATCTTGCCCCCCCAACCCTCTGGAGTTAAGAAGTAAGCTCAGACGGCTGTGCACTCTAAGAATCAGCCATTGCCTGAGGCGACAGAGAGGTTCTATCAGTAAACAAGGATCAAGTATATACCCAGCCACATCGGCCAGTGTGGGCTCTTACCCAGAAACGTCACCTACTGGCTTATTGGTCAAACTGCACAGTCCAATATAAAACCTGCTGACAGAATTGCATGAGGCTACGGAAGCAAAGCCAAAACACACTACCCAGCATTCTCTACAGTCACATCCCCAAGGGAGAGGGAGAAAGAGAAACTGAAAAAAGAAAAAAACAATAATATTATAGGGAAAAAGAGAAAAATCCTACCTGCACAAAAATAACTTCAAAAAGTAGAAGTGTCAGCATCTTCAGATCAGAAAGAACCAGTGCAAGAATTCTGGCACCATAAAAATATGTGAATACACTAATACCACCAAGGGCTCACACTAGCTCTCCAGCAATAATTCCTAACCAAAATATAAATGCAGAAATGACAAATAAAAGACTCAAAGCATGGATTGTAAGGAAACTCAATGAGATCCAAGATAAGGTTGAAAATCAACACAAAGCAACTTCTAAAGCAATCCATGAAATGAAGGAATAGATATAAATCTTAAAAAGAAATCAATCAAAGCTTCTGGAATTGAAAAGCTCACTTAAAATTTCAAAATACAATTGAAAGGTTTATCAATAGACTGGAACAAGTAGAAGAAATAATTTCAGAACTTGAAGCCTAGTCTTTCAAACTAACCCAATCTGACAAAAATAAAGAAAAATGGAATTTTTGAAAATGAACAAAGTCTTTGAGAAATATGGGATTATGTAAAGTGGCCAAATCTACAAATGGTTGGCATTCCTGAGAGAGAAGGAGAAAAAGAAAACAAACAACCTGGAAACATGTTTGAGAGAATAATTCAAGAAAAGTTTCCTAATCTTTCTTGAGAGGCAGACATCAAGATACAAAAAATTCAGAGAACACCTGTGAGATACTATACAAAACAAACATCGCCAAGGCATATAGTCATCAGACTATCCTAGGTCAATGCTAAAGAAAAAATCTTGAAGGTAGCTAGAAGAAAAGGTCAGATCATATGCAATAGGAATCCCATCAGGCTAGCAGCAGACTTCTCAACAGAATCCTTGTAAGCCGAGAGAGATTGAGGGCCTATTTTCAGCATTCTTAAAGAAAAGAAAATCCAACCAAGAATTTTTTTTTTTTTGAGATGGAGTCTCGCTCTGTTGCCCAGGCTGGAGTGCAGTGGTGCAATCTCGAGCTCACTGTAAACTCCACCTCCTGGGTTCACGCCATTCTCCTGCCTCAGCCTCCCAAGTAATTGGGACTACAGGCACCCGCCACCACACCCAGCTAATTTTTTGTATTTTTAGTAGAGATGGGGTTTCACCGTGTTAGCCAGGATGGTCTCGATCTCCTGATCTCATGATCCGCCCGCCTCGGCCTCCCAAAGTGCTGGGATTACAGGCGTGAGCCACCACGCCCGGCCCAACCAAGAATTTTATATTCTGCCAAACTTAGCTTTATAAGGAAATAAGAAATAAAATATTTTCCAGACAAGCAAGTGCTAAGGAATTTGTTATCACTAAACCAATCTTATAGAGATCCTTATAAAAGTTCTAAACACTGAAATGAAAGAATAATACCTGCTACCAAGAAAACACACTTCAGTACATAGCCCACAGATCCTATAAAGCAACTATACAATAGAAACTACAAAGATACCAACTAACAACTTCACAACAAGATCAAAATCTCACATATCAACATTAACCTTGAATATAAATGGTCTAAACATCCCAAGTAAAACGCACAGAGTGTCAAGTTAAATTTAAAAAAAATGACCCATTCATCTTCTCTCTTCAAAAGATGGACCTCACACATAACAACACACACAGACTCAAAGTAAAGGGTTGGAGCACATGTATACATATGTAACAAACCTGCACATTGTGCACATGTACCCTAGAACTTAAAGTATAATAAAAAAAAGGGTTGGAGAAAAATCGATACATGCAAATAGAATACATAAAAAAGTAGGAATCACTATTCTTCTTCTTTTTTTTTTTTTTTTTTTTTGAGACGGAGTTTCACTCTTGTTGCCCTAGTTGGAGTGCAGTGGCACGATCTCAGCTCACTGCAACCTCCACCTCCTGGGTTCAAGTGATTGTCCTGCCTCAGGCCTCTCAAGTAGCTGGGATTACAGGAGCCCACCACCATGCCCAACCAATTTTTTTTTGTATTTTTAGTAGAGATGGGGTTTCATCATGTTGGCCAGTTTGGTCTCGAACTCCTGACCTCAGGTAATCCACCTGCCTCAGCCTCCCAAAGTGCTGGGATTACAGGCACAAGCTACTGCGCCCAGCCTGAATCACTATTCTTATAACAGATAAAACACAATTTAAACTAACAACAGTAAAAAAGGACAAAGAAGAGCATACATAATGATAAAGGGTTTAATCCAACAAGAAGAATCAACTATCCTTAATATATATGCACTTAACATTGGAGCAACCAGATTCATAAAACAAGTACTTCTAGACCTACAAAAAGACCTAGACAGCCACATAACAATAGTGTGGAACTTCACCATACCACTGACAGCCTCAGACAGATCATAAAGGCAGAAAACTAACAGAGAAATTCTGGACTGAAATTCAACACTTGACCAATTGGACCTAATAGAAATCTATAGAATATTCCACTCATTTACTACAGAATGTACATTATTCTCATATGCACATGGCGCATACTCCAATACAGACAACATGCTCAGCCATAAAGCGAGCCTTAGTAAATTCAAAAAACTTGAAGTAGTACCAACCATTGTCTTGGACCACAGTGGAATAAAGACAAAATGCAATACAAAGAAGATCTTTCAAAACTACACAATTACATGAAAATTAAACACTTTGCTCCTGAATGACTTTTGGGTAAACAATGAAATTGAGGCATAAACCAAAAAATTATTTGAAATAAATGAAAACAGAGACACAACATACAAAACGTCAGGGATGCAGCAAAAGGAATGTTGAGAGGAAAATGTATAGTGCTAAATGCCTACCATAGAAAAAATATCTTGAATTAATTATCTATTATCACACCTGTAGGAAGTAGAAAAACAAGAACAAACTAACTTCAAAGATAGCAGAAGAAAGGAAATAACTAAAATCAGAGCAGAACTGAACAACATTGAGACCCTAAAATCCTTACAAAGCATCAAAGGAACCAAAAGTTGATTATTTGAAGAGATCATCAGCACCAATTGACTGCTAGTTAAATTAACAGAGAGAGGGGAAGAGACAGAGAGAGAGATAATCCAAATAAACACAATCAGAAATGACAAAGGAAACATTACAACTGATCCCACAGCAATACAAAAGATCTTCAGAGACAGTTATGAACACTTCTATGCACACATACTACCAAATCTAGAGGAAACAGATAAATTCTTGGAAACAAATAATCTCCCAAGATTAAATCAGAAAAAAAAATTGAAACACTGAACAGCCTACTAGGATGCTCCAAAATTGAATCAGGAATAAAGAACCTATGAATCAAAAAAGTCTTGGATCAGATGAAATCACAGCTGAATTCTACCAGATGTACAAAGAAAAGCTGGTACCAAAATAATTGAGGAAGAGGAACTCCTTTCTAACTCATTCTATGAAGCCAGCATCACTCTCATACAAAACCTGGCAAAGACACAATGAAAAATGGAAAACTATGGGACAATATCCCTGATGAACAGCAATGCAAAAATCCTCAACAAAATACTAGCAAACTGAATCCAACCATATATCAAAATGGTAATTCACCATGATCAAGCAGCCTTCATTCCTGTGATGCAAGGTTGCTTCACATACAAAAATCAATAAATGTGATTCACCAAATAAACAGAATTAAAAAATAAAAACCATATGTTCATTTTAATAGATCCAGAAAAAGCTTTCAATAAAATGCAAAATTCTCTCATGATAAGGACCCTCAAGAAACTGGATATCAAAAGAACATACCTCAAAATAATAAGAGCCATCTATGACAAACCCACAGACATCACACTGAATGGATAAAAACAGGAAGCATTTCCCTTGAGATCCAGAACGTAGACAGTGATATCTACTCTCACCAGTCCTATTCAACAAAGTACTGGAAGTTCATGCCACAGCCATGGGGCAACAGAAAGTAAAAAAGACATCCAAATAGGAAAATAAGAAGTCAAACTATCTTTCTTCACTGATGATATGATCTATACCTAGAAAACTCTAAAGACTCCATCAAAAACCTCCTGGAACTGATAAACAACTTTAATAAAATTTCAGGAAACAAAATCAACATACAAAAATCAGTAGCATTTCTAAACACTAATAACATTCAAGCTGACAGCCAAATCAGGAACACAATCCCATTTAAAATAGCCACAAAAAATTAAAATATCCTAGAATACATCTAACCAAGAAGGTGACAGATCTCTACAAGGAGAACTACAAAACACTGCTGAAAGAAATAAATGATGTCAGAAACAAATGAAAAAAAAATTCTATGCCCATGGATTGAAAGAACAATATTAAAATAACCATAGTACCCAAAGCAATACATAGATTCAACTTTATTTCTATTAAAACACTAAAGTCATTTTTCACACAACTAAGAAAAACTTTCTAAAATTCATATGGAATCAGATATCAGTCCAAGTAGCCAAAGTCATCCCAAGCAAAAAGGAAAAAGCTGGAGGCATAATATTACCAGACTTCAAATTATACTATAAGGCTACAGTAAGCAAAACAGCATGATGCTTTTACAAAAAGATACATACACTAAGGGAAGAGATTACAGGACCCAGAAATAAGGCCACACACCTACAGTCACCTGATTTTTGACAAAGTTGACAAAAATGAGCAACAGGTAAACAACTCTCTATTCAAAAAATAGTGCTGGGCCAGCTGGCTAGCCACGTGCAGAGGAATTAAAGTGGACCTCTACCTTTCAACATATACAAAAATTAACATAAGATGGATTAAACATTTAAATGTAAGACCTCAAATGAGAGTAATCCTAGAAGAAGACCTAGGAAACACCATTCTGGACATCAGCCTTAGGAAAGAATTTATAACTAAGTCCTCAAAAGAAATTGCAACAAAAACGAAAATTGATAAGTGGGATCCAATTAAACCAAAAAGCTTCTATACTCAAGGAAACTATCAACAGAGTAAACAGACAATCTGTAGAGTGTGAGAAAATATTGACAAACTATGCATCTGACAAAAGTCTAATATCCAAAATCTGTAAGTCACTTAAGGAGCAAAAAACAAATAATCACATTAAAAATTGGGCAAAATGCATGAGCAGACAGTTCTCAAAAGAAGACATACTGATGGCTAAAAAGCATATGAAAATTGCTCAACATAACCAATTATTAGAGAAAGGCAAATCAAAACCATGATGAGATACCATCTCACAACAGTCAGAATAGTTATTATTAAAAGGTCAAAAAATAACAAATGTCGGCAAGGTTGCAAAGAAAAGGAAATTTATACACTGTTGGTGGGAGTATAAATCAGTTCAACAACTGTGCAAAGTAGTTTGGAGATTTCTCAAAGAAATTAAAACAATTATCATTTGACCCAGCAATTCCATTACTGGGTATACACCCAAAAGAAAATAAGTTATTCAACCAAATAGATACATGCACTTGTATATTACTCACAGCACTATTCATAATAGCAAAGACATGAAATCAATGTAGGTGCCCATCAATGGTGGATCAGAGAAAGAAAATATAGTACATATACACCCTGGAACACTACACAGCCATAAAAAAATGAGATCTTGTCCTTTCCAGCAACCTGGATGGAGCCGGAGGCCATCATCCTAAGCAAACTAACACAGGAACAGAAAACCAATACCACGTGTTATCACTTAAAAGTGGGAGCTAAACCATGGGTACTCATGGACATAAGGATGGCAAAAATAGATACTGGGGGCTACTGTGGGGGGGTGTAGAGCAAGGGGGCAGGTTGAAAAGTTGAGTATTAGTAGTAGGTTGAGTACTATCCTCAGTACCTGGGTTATGGGATCAATTGTACTTCAAACCTCAGCATCATGCAATATGCCCAGGTAACAAACCTGTACACATACCCCCAAATCTAAAATAAAAGTTGAAATTATTAAGAAATGTTATTGGCTATTAGTGGCTATCATAATCTACTTGAAATTTCTAAAGTAAATCTATTTATATCAGTGACGAAAGCTTCTTCCTCTCTGATGATAAATCCATTGCAGACTGGAGTTTTAAGAAAATATTTTAGGATTATGAATATATTTATTGAGACAGAAGTAAATTCTGAATGCATGAAAGAAGAAAACTGGATATAAAAGAACCATGAAAACTGAGGAGAATTCAACATAAAGAATGCTTATTCACAGAAAACGTGATGTTTTTCAAAATCAGCCTCTATATGGTGAATTACAAATGCCAGCAAGGCCAAAAGTCAAGCATAACTATTTTAAAGAATAGTGGTTAAACTTATCATACACATGAAATTGAAGCTTATATTCTATTACAATCTTTTAACACAATCCTCATTGTTATGAGTTTCTAAATGTCAGTTCCTCACTATAAAGATGTTAGATAACCTCTCATCTAGCCTACAGTCTAAACTCTAAACAGTCTTATACACAAGTAAAAGTTATAAGATTATTTAAAATAATAAACTTGCCATTCAACTAAAGAGAATGATTAACTCCTTCAAAAAGTAACATCTTATATTGATACCCATAAACATTTATGAATATCTTTATGTAGTCATATACTATTTTAGAATTTTTTACAGTAAGAAATGTATAAGGGAAATATAGTGCCTCAGGTTGTTTGAATGAATGAAGAAAATTGTCATCTATTAAAGATACAGAAATTCAGTCATCAATGTTAGAATAATTTTTTCATACATGTTTTAAGTAGCCTTTCAAAAGCCAGCAGGAAATTGAAAACTGACATCCTGAAATATCCACTTATACTGCTGCACACATATACACACATGCATATACACACATAATATGAAGTGATAAAAAAAGACACCCAAGTGTGATAATTTTCTAAAGTCAAACAATAGTAACAATAGATATATCTATAGACCGTTTAATACATGCTGAATATTGTTTTAAGCACTTCATATGTACAGGTATACCTCAGAGATACTGAGTTCAGTTCCAGACCACTACAATGAAGCAAATATCACAATAAAGCGAGTTACATGATTTTTTTGGTTTCCCCTTGCATATAAAAGTTATATTTACACTGTACTATAGTCTACTAAGAGTGAAATAGACTATTTTTTGGTCTAAAAATGTACGTGTCTAAATTTAAAATACTTTATTGCTAAAAACTGCTAATAATCATCTGAGCTTTCAGCAAATTGCAGTGTTTTTCTTGGTTGGTGTTCTGTCTCAGTGTTGATGGCTGCTGATTGAATACCATGGTGGTTGCTGAAGGTTGAGGTGCCTGAGGAAATTTTTAATAAGACAATGGTAACATTTGCCTCATTAATTGACTCTTCCTTTCATGAAAGATTTCTCTGTGGCACGTGATGCTGTTTGATAGCATTTTACCCACAGTAGAACGTTCACACTTGGAGTCAATCCTCTCAAACTCTGCCACCACTTTATCAGCCAAGTTTATGTAACATTCTAAGTCCTTTGTTGTCATTTCAAAAATGTTCCACAGCATCTTCACCAGGAGTAGATTCCACCTCAAGAAACCAATTTCTTTGCTCATCCATAAAAACCAACTCATCTGCTCAAGTTTTATCATGAGATTACAGCAATTCAGGCAAACCTTCAGTCTCCACTTCTAATCTAGTTCTCTTGGTACATCCACCACATGTGCAGTTTTTCTATTGGAAAAAGCCTTCTTTTCCAATAGAAGGCTATTTCATCTACATTGAAAATCTGTTGTGTAGTGTAGCTACCTTCATTAATTAACACAATCTTCAGCAGCTTGCTGCAGCTTCTCCCTCAGCACTTGATGCTTCACCTTGCACTTTTATGTTATGAAGATGGCTTCATTCCTTAAATCTCATTGAAACAACCTCTGCAAAATTCAAACTTTTTTCCTGCTGCTTTCTCATCTCTCTGTCTTCATTGAATTGAAGAGGGTTAGGGCCTTGTTGTGGATTAGGTTTCAGTTTAAGGCAATGATGTGGCTACTTTGATCTTCTATTCAGATCACTCAAACTTTCTCCATATCAGCAATAAGTCTGCTTATTCTTCTTATCATTGGTGCGTTCAGAGTAACACTTTCAATTTCCTTCAAGAACTTTTCCTTGATATTCACAATTTGGCTAACTGGCAAAAGAGCCCTAGCTTTTGACCTATCTTAACTTTTGGCATGCCTTCTTTACTAAGCTTAAACATTTTGGACTTTTGATTTAAAGTGAAAGAGTTGAACACCTAAAGTCAATTTTGGTGTTATTAACTGGCCTAATTTGTATATTGTTATGTCCCAGGGAATAGGGAGGCCCAAGTAGAGGGAGAGAGGGTAACACCTGGCCATTGAAACAGTCAGAACACACACAACAATTATCAATTAAGTTCACCATTATTTATGGGTGCAGTTTGTGGTGCCTCAAAGCAATTATAATAGTAACATCAAAGATTACTGATCACAGATCATCTTAATAGATATAATAATAATCGGATATAATAATACTAATAAAGTTAGAAATATCACAAGAATTACAAAAAAATGTGACATGGAGACACAAAGTGAGCACAGTTCATTTAGGAAAAATGTCACTGAAAGACTTTCTTGAGGAAGGGTTGCCACTAACTTTAAATTTGTAAATATGTATATCTGAGAAGTGCAATAAGGGGAAACACAATAAAATAAGCTACACCTGTATTAACCCCCTTAATCCTCACAACAAAACTGTAATACTGGCACTGTCATGATGTCCATTTTTCAACTGGGAAAAAGAGTGCAAAAAAGTGGGGCAAGATTCAAACTGGCAATCTGTTTCCTCATCCCACTTTTTATATTATAATTATTTATTTTTTTATAAATTTTACTTTAGGTTCAAGATTACAGATGTTATATAGACAATTGCATGTCATGGGGATTTGGTATACAGTTTATTTCATCTCCTCAGTAATAAGGATAGTACACTATAGGTAGTTTTTCATTTCTCACCATCCTCCCACCCTCCACCCTCAAATAGGCCCTGGCGTTTATTGTTCTCTTTATTATGTCCATGTTTAATCAATGCTTAGCTCCCACTTTAAAGTGAAAACATGCAGCATTTGGTTTTCTGTTTCTGCGTAAGTTCCTCTGTTGGTTCCTCCAGCGCCATCTGTGTTGCTGCAAATGACATAATCTGGTTATTTTTTACAGTTGTGTAGTATTTCATGATATATATGTACAACATTTTCTTTCTCCAGTCTACCATTAATGGATTTTAGGTTGATTCCATTTCTCTGCTGTTGTGAATAGTGCTGCAATGAACATACACATGCATATGTATTTATTGTAAAACGGTTTCTATTCCTTTGGGTATATACCCAATAAAGGGATTGCTGTGTGGAATGGTAATTCTGCCTTAAGTTTTTTGAGGAATCACCAAGCTGCTTTCCACAATGGCAGAACTAATTTAACATTCCCACCAAAAGTGCTTTTCTCTGCAGCCTCAGCAACATCTGTAATTTTTTACTTTTTAATAACAGCCATTCTGACTGTTGTGAGATGATATCTAATTGTGGTTTTGATTTGCATTTCTCTAATGATTAGTGATGTTGAGCATTTTTTCATGTGCTTGTTGGCCATATATGTGTCTTCTTTTGAGAAGTGTCACTTTATGTACTTTGCCCTCTTTTAATTTTTTTTTATTTTTTGCTTTCTAATTTGCTTGACTTGCTTATAGAATTCTGGATATAAGGTCTTTGTCAGATGCATAGTTTGTCAATATTTTCTCCCATCCTTTATGTGATCTGTTTACTCTGTGGATAGTTACTTTTGCTGTGAAGAAGCTGCTCTTTAATGTATTTAAGTCCCATTTGTCAATTTTTGCTTTTGTTGTGATTGCTTTAGGTGTCTTTGTATGAAATATTTGCCAGAGCCTATGTCCAGAATGGTATTTCTTAGGTTTTCATCTAGAGCTTTTTATAGTTTTAGGTTTATTTTTAAGACTTTAATCCATCTTTAGTTGATTTATGTATATAATGAAAGGAATAGGTTCATGTTCAATCTTCTGCATATAGCTAGCCAGTTATCCCAGCACTACTTATTGAGTAGGGAATCCTTTCCCCATTGCTCATTTTGGTCACTTTTGTCGAACATCAGTTAGTTGTAGCTGTGTGGTCTTATTTCTGGGTTCTCTGTGCTGGTCCATTGATCTATGTGTCTGTTTTTGTACCAGTACCATGCTGTTTTGGTTTCTGTAGCCCTGTGGTATAGCTTGAAACCAGGTAATATGTTGCCTCTAGCTTTGTTCTTTTTGCTTAGGATTGCCTTGGCACTTTGAGCTCTTTTTTTTTTTTTGTTCTATATGAATTTTAAAATGGCTTTGTCTAACTATCTGAAAGATATCATTAGTAGTTAGAAATAAGATTGAATCTGTAAATTGTTTTTGGCAGTATGGCCATCTTAACAATATTGATTCTTCCTGTCCATGGGTATGGAATGTTTTATCACTTGTTTTTGTCAGCTTTGATTTCTTTGAGCAGTGTTTTGTAATTCTTATAGTAAAGATCTTTCACCTCTTGGTTAGTTATATTCCTAGGTATCTTATTATTTTTGTGGCTACTGTGAATGGGATTGTGTTCTTGATTTGGCTCTCAGCTTCAGTGTAGGTGTATAGGAATGTTACTAACTTTTGTAAATTGATTTGTATGCTGAAACCTTGCTGAAGTTCTTTATCAGATTTGGAGCTTTGGGGCAGAGACTATGGGGTTTTCTTTGTTTAATTTCCATATAATTGTATGGTTTCAAGTGATTTTCTTAGTATTTATTTCTATTTTTATTGCTCTGTAATCCAAGAGTGTGGTTGGCATGATTTTAGTGTTTTTGACTCTGCTGAGAATTCTTTATAGCTGATTCTGTGGTTGATTTTAGAATATGTGCCATATGCAGATGAGAAGAATGTATATCCTATTGGGTTGGAGGCTAAGGGTTCTATAGATGTCTGTTAGGTCTGTTTAGTCAAGTGTTGAGTTCAGGTCTCATGTATCTTTGTTAGTTTTCTGCCTAGATGATCTGTCTAATAATCTCAGTGGAGTGTTCTCATCTTTATATTTTGTCATGATCTAAATCTCATCATAGATCTCTAAGGACTTACTTCATTAACCCAGGTGCCACTGTGTTGAGTGGCATATATTTTTAGGAAAGTTCAGTCTTCTTGTTGAATAGAACCTTTTACCCTTATGTAATGCCCTTCTTTGTCTTTTAAAATCATTGTTGGTTTAAAGTCTGTTTTGTCTGAAATTAGAATAACAACCTCCAATTTTGGGGGAATTTTCTTGGTAGATTTTTCTACATCCCTTTACTTTGTGCCTATGCATGTCATTGGCTGTGAGATGTGTCTCTTGAAGACAGCATACAATTGGGTCTTGCTTCTTTATGCAACTTACCACTCTGTGCCTTCTAATTTGGTCATTTACCCTGTTTACATTCAAGTTTAATATTGATATGTGCACTTTTGATTCTGTCATCATCTTGTTAGCTGGTTATTATGTAGACTTGATCCCATGATTGATTTAAAGTTTCAATGGCCTATGAACACAAGTGAATTTTTGTGGTGGCCAATAACAATCTTTCCTTTCCATATTTAGCACTCCTTTGATGACCTCTTGTAAGTCTGACGTGGTGGTAGGTTACAAATTCACATACATTTGCTTATCTGAAATGGATCTTATTTTTCCTTTGCTTATGAAACTTAGTTTGATTGAATATGAAATTTTTGTTTGGAACTTGTTTTCTTTAATAGTGCTGAATATAGACCTCCAATCTCCTGTGGCTTGTAGGATTTTGTTGAAAGGTCCACTGTTAGCCTGATTGGGTTTCATTTGTAGGTGACTTGCCACTTTTCTCTATGTATCTTTAACATCTTTTCTTTCATGGTAACCTTAGAAAGTCTGATGACTATGTGTCTTAGGTGTGGTCATCTTGCATAGTGTCTTGCAAGGTTCTTCTGCGTTTCCTGAAGTTGAATGTTGGCCTCTTTAGCAAGTTTGGGCTGATTTTCAAGGATGATATTCTCAAATTATTTTCAAGTTGCTTACTTTCCCTCACTCTCTTTCAAGGACACCAATGAATCAGATTTGGTCTCCTTATATAATCCCATATTTCTTAGAGTGTTTGTTTATCCTTCATTATTTTTTAAAATCTTTGTCTGATTGACTTATTTCAGAGAACCACTCTTTTCACTCTGAGATTCTTTACTAAGTTTGGTCAATTCTGCTGTTAATACTTGTGATTGTATCATGAAATTCTTGTAGTGAGTTTTTCACCTCTGTCCAGTTTGTTTCTTTTTAAAAATGACTATTTTATCTTTCATCACCTGTATCATTTTCATTTATTCTGAAGGTTCCATGCATTGGGATTTGAATTTCTGCTGAATCTCAATGATTTTTGTTCCTACCCATATTCTGAACACTATTTCTGTAATTTCAGTCATTTTGGCCTTGTTAAGAACCATGGCTAAAGAAGTAGAGTAGTCATTTGCATGTTAGTAGACACTCTGACTTTTTGAGTTTCCAGAGTTCTTGTGCTGGTTGTTTCTCTTCTGTGTGGGCTGATGTTCCTTCAATCTTCGAAGTTGTTATCTTTTGGATGAGTTTCCTTTCCTTTTATCTTCTTTGATGCCCTTGAGGGTTTGATTTTGGTATAAGGTGGACTCAGTTGACTGGCTTCATTTCTGGAAGATTTTAGGGGGGCAAGTCTCCGCTCAGCAATCCTGGGCTGTGTGCACTAACTCTGGGGGCCTGGTACCAGGCCATTGCCTTGGTTCTCTGGCCCTTCAAGGTTATGAACCTGCTTCACTAGAGAGACTGATGTGTTCTCAGTCTGCTAACCACAACATTCCAATGGGTGATGCCAGCCAAAGCACATTGTCAGGTAAGTGGCAGCAGGATTCATGCTTGCTTGTGAGTACAGCAGCTGTGGCAGTATGACAAGATGCACACAAGTTGGCTGGGGTGGAGTACTGGTAAGAGCAGGACTGCTGCATTTCTGCATGGATTCATGCCAGTGCTGTCAGTGGCATAGAGGGGCAGGGTACTGGTAGGCATGGGGTTGCTGGTGTGTATGCTCACTGTCACACTGGTGGCAACAGTTGGGGCAGGGTGCTGGCTGATGTAAGGCTACCTCCATGCACACATTTGCAGCAACAGCAATGGTAACGTAGGGGAGTGGGGATGCTGGCCCACATCCATGTGTGTGTTTGTATCAGCAGCAGTGTCAGCACAAGAGGGAGCAGGGTTTCTGGCATCCATACATGCATTCACGCTTGCAATGGCAATGTGGCCCAATGTCTACATATCAGTGGTCGAGCACAAGGGATTTGCTCTTGCCACCAGCAGTGGCGTGACAGGGTGCATGCACACACACATGCTGGTGGGGAAAGGGAGCTGCAGTCTACCCATTCACCCATGCCAGCAAAGCAATGAATGGTTGGCCATGGGCATGTGTGTGCCTACAAAGTGGCACAGGGGAGGCTGCAGTTGAGGGAGGATGCTGTTGGACTGGTGAATGTCAGCAGAGGCTACTCTGTTGGAGCTCTCTGAAGGTCAGGCATAATCTGTCATTAAAGGAGCTATGATGAAGGCCGCAAGTTCACACCCAGTTTGAGCATCTGAGGCTGCATGGCAACTGGGCATGGACAGGCTGGGGCCCTGGAGAGGCAAGCAGACATGACTGTGTTCAGATTGAATTTGCCTCATCTCATGGGCAAGACTTCCCTGCTGTGTCTGGGTCCAAAAGCCAGCCCAAGGCTAATGTCTCTTACGGGAACATGGTGAGACTTGGGGGATGCATCTCCCTGGCCATGATCAACTGCATACGTTCCCATACCAAATGCTCTGGGCTCCACATAGGCTGAAATCTTGCCCCTAACATCCCTTTAAGCAGCTCTCTCACAGCTCAAGTGTCCATCGGGGTTGTGGGGTCTCCTACTACCAAGATGCCAGAGGTCCGTGGTGAGAGTGGGCCACTTTTTTCCTGTTGTACTCACCCTTTCCCCAGAAATTTCTGGGGGCCAGGAACATTTCCCAGTGCTCAGTAGCCCTGTGCAGGATTCCCAGCTTCCTCCCGCTTCAACCCAGCATCTGTGTCCTCTCTCCATCCATTCTCAATGCCTTCCCTCCGAAGGTCTACTCATGGTGTGCCAGTATTCCTGATGTCCCAATTTCTCAGTGACAGATGTTCCTTCTGGCTGTATCTAGTCAGCCATCTGGGATATTCTTTAAAAAAAAAAAAAAAAAAAAAAAGACTACATTCATCCTTCAGTATTCACTGGGGATTGGTTCCTGGGCCTCCTGTGTATTCCAAAATCTAGAGATGCTTAAGTACCTTATAGAAAATGGCATAGTATTTGCATATAACCTATGCACATCTTTATGAACACTTTAAATCATCTCTTGGTTACTTATAATACCTAACACAATGTAAATGCTATGTAAATTGTTGTTATACTGTATTTTAATTTTAATTTTATTGTTGTATTTTTTTTTTCTTTTTTAAATATTTTTCATCTTTAGTTGGTTGAATCTATGAGTGTGGAACCCAAGGTTATGGAGGACTGGCTGTGGATACCTGAAGAGGTAAAGATAGTATTTGCCAGAAAATTCAGTTGAAACATTTGTTCAATGTTTACAATAAATATCTACAGGTATCATCCTGGGGACTTTTTAAATAAAAATTGAATAAAAATTCTCCAAGTATAGCTCAAAAGAAGGCTTACTATATTCATGGTTTAGTAATTAATCAGGATATTCATATCCTAAATTCCCATGTCAAGTTAATCTTCACACTTTTTTTTTAATAATCAAAAGTATAAAGATTATATTTTTCTCCCAAAAAAAGGCCTTTAAAGGAAATGACCTGGTTTATATATTACTCAGGACATTTGAGGTATTTCTTTTCTTCTTTTGAGAAATCAGGAGCAGATTTCAATGTTGGCAGAAATACATAAGCCCAATGGCTTAATGCCTCATTTACTTCCAATATCAAATATGTCCTAGTATGAAAAGCAAAGAAGTTAGAAGATTTTACTATATTAAAAGGAACAAATTATTTATTTTTCCCAAGGCAGACTCAGCCAAAATGTAATAGACTAAGAACATCAATCAAGTATCTTAATATAGATTCAACCAAAGGCCAAGAAAGGTTAAAAAGGGGTGGGGGGGTGTAATATGTATAATACTCTATATCTAAGGAGTCCTAAAACCTTTAATAGAAGTTGAGTTTTAGAAACAATTTATCAGATAAATGTTCAACCAGAAGTTACTACTGATTTAGTATTAACTCTACTAAAAAATATTCATCATTTTATGTGCCAAGTACTCTACTAACGGCTTTGCATTTATTAACTCATTTAATCCTTATACAAACCCTATGTAGTAATTACTGTTATCCTCGGTTTACAGATGAGAATGATACTAAAAGCAGTCTGCTTATTGCCATAATGCATGATAGATGAAAGAATGCCTATTTAGGAATTCTGAAATATAATACTTACTAATTGTTACCATTCTCCAGGTCATTCATGTTCCCAAATGAGAAAATTTAAATAAAAAATATTCAAATCCTCATACTCAATGAACCCACTCTTTACCTTTACTTGGACCTCAAATTGCTCAAAAACATCCACTTCATTCTTTACATTAGCACATATGAATTCTACAAATTAAATACTGTAGTTACCAATTTTAGTGCTGACTAGTACTTAAGATGCTTTTTTTTTTAACAACAGTTTCCTGTTGTGCTTATAACATTTGTCCCAATTTTCGTTTTTATTCCCACTGCTACCACTCTGGGCAAGGTCTTTAATTGAATGGCCTCAAAAATGATCTTCCTGCATCTAGTCTCTTGCGTGTTACAATTTCTTCATTCAACAAATACTATTTGATATAAATTGACCCCTTACTATTACGCATGGCACATAGTAAGGTGTCAATTTATATTTGTTTAATGAAGTGTTAAACCAAAGAGACAATGATTCTTGATCTTATAGCCCTTATACCCTACCATGTCTCTAAACAAAAACGTAAAATGTCTCCCATTGTTTTTGAGACAATTTCAAACTCTACAAATTTGCATTTAAGATACTTCACAAACTATTTTTACATATATCTATTTCAATACTATCCAACACAAACTCTCTAATATAACCAGGAAATATCCTCATTATCCTTCAATATGAAATATCCATTCCCAAATCTGCACCATTTATTAGAATGTTTCCTCCACGTGAATTTTCTTCACTGTCTTCTTCATGATTACAAAGACCTATTCATCACCCTTTCAGTAAGAGATTATATCTCTGCCCTGTCAAAAAAAGTTTCCAATTTTCTCCAGCTAATATCTTTCTTCTCTGAACTGCTCTGAACTTAGAATTTACATTAGTGTTTACAAATTTTGGCAACAAAGAGTATCAAGGAACACTGAGAGCACATCATAGCATATTTAAGATCAAATTATGACTGCAACCCTTCCATTTAAGGGAAGACCCCCAAAAGATTGCATAGCATAGAAATAGATGCAAGGTACCAGTAAGATTCAATTTCTTAGGTTTTAAGATGTGTTCATTAGGAGGGCTGGCAAGATGGCCAAATAGGAACAGCTCTGGTCTGCAGCTCCCAGCGAGATCAACCCAGAAGGACGGTGATTTCTGCATTTCCAACTGAGGTACCTATCTCGTCTCATTGGGACTGGTTAGAAAGTGGGTGCAGCCCACGGAGAAAGAGCTGAAGCAGGGTGTGCTGTCGCCTAACCCGTGAAGTGCAATGGGTCAGAGAACTCCCTCCCCTAGCCAAGGGAAGCCATGAGGGACTGTGCCATGAGGAACTGTGCATTCCAGCCCAGATATTACAATGAGATACAGTCTCATTCCAGTTAGAATGGTGATCATGAAAAAGTAAGGAAACAACAGATGCTGGAGAGGATGTGGAGAAATAGGAATGCTTTTACACTGTTGGGGGGAGTGTAAATTAGTTCAACCATTGTGGAAGACAGTGTGACGATTCCTCAAGGAACTAGAACCAGAAATACCATTTGACCCAGCCATCCCATTACTGGATATATACCCAAAGGATTATAAATCATGCTGCTATAAAGACACATGCACACATATGTTTATTGTGGCACTATTCACAATAGCAAAGACTTGGAATGAACCCAAATGTCCATCAACGATAGACTAGAAAAAGAAAATGTGGCATATATACACCATGGAATGCTATGCGGCCAATAAAAACGGATGAGTTCATGTTTTTTGCAGAGACATGTCTGAAGCTGGAAACCATCACCCTTAGCAAACTAACACAGGAACAGAAAGCCACACACTGCATGTTCTCACTCATAAGTGGGAGTTGAACAATAAGAACACATGGACACAGGGAGGGAAAAATCACACACAAGGGCCTGTCAGGGGGTGGGGGGCAAGGAGAGGGAGAGCATTAGGACAAATACCTAATGCATGTGGGGCTTAAAACCTAGATGACAGGTTGATAGGTGCAGCAAACCACCATGGCACATGTATACCTATGTAACAAACTTGCACGTTCTGCACATGTATCCTAGAACTTAAAGTTTTAAAAAATAGACAAATAGCACTATATTAAACTAAAAAGCTTCTGCACAGTAAATGAAACAATCAAAGAATAAAGAGATAACCTTTGAATGGGACAAAATATTTGCAAACTACTCATACAATAAGGGAATAAAATCTGGAATATACCAGGAAATCAAACAACTCAACAATAAAGAAATAATAATCCTTTTTAAGTGGGCAAACCAAATAACTAGGCAATTCTCAAAAGAAGACATACAAATGGCCAATAGGCATGTGAAAAATGCTCATTGTCACTAATCAGAGAAATGCAAACCAAAACCACAATGAGATATCGTGTTACCTTCGTTAGAATGGCTTCTATTAAAATGACAAAAAGTAACACATATTGGCATGGATATGGAGAAAAGGGAACTCTATACGCTGCTGTATGGAATGTAAATTAATGCAGCCACTATGAAAAGAGTATGGACATTTCTCAAAAAACTGAAAATAGAACTACTACATGATATACCAATCCCACTATTGGGTATTTATCCCAAGGAAAGTATATCAATGTATCAAATGAATACCTGCATACACATGTTTATTGCAACACTATTCTCAATTGCAAAGATATGGAATAAACTTAAGTTTCCATCAATGGATTCATTGAGAAAGAAAATGTGGTACATACATCATAGAATAATTTTTAGCCATAAAAAGAGTGAAACTGTGTGATTTTCAGAAATGGATGGAACTGGAGGTCATTATGTTAAATTAAATAACACAGACACAGAAAGACAAATATTGCATGATCTCACACATGTGTGGGATCTAAGGAACTTGATCTCATGGAGATAGAGAATAGAATGATAGATACCAGAGTCAGGAAAAAGTATCAGGGTGTGAGGGGAAAAGGAAGAGTGGTTAGTGAATGGGTACAAATTTACAGTTAGGTAGAAAAAGTACATTTTAATGTTTGATAGCAGACTAGGGTGACTACACTTAGCAACGATATATTTTATATTTCAAAATAGCAAGAAAAGAGGACTAGAAATGTTACCAACACATGGAAATTATGAATACTCAAGGTGATGGACACTCCAAATACCTTGACTTCATCATTACCCATTCTATGCATGTAAAAAATACTAATATGTGCCCCATGAATATGTAAAATATTATACATCAATAAAATAATAACTACAAAATGTAATATGAGTTACTTTTTTTGTAGATATATAAAATGTTATTCTAAAATTCATATGAAATATCAAAGGACCCCTGTAGCCAAAACAACTTGGAAAAAACCAAGTTTAGTGGCTTCATGCACTTCCTGATTTCAAAACTTACTACAAACCCATGGTAATCATAACAGTGTGGTAATGGTATAAAGACAGATACATAGGCCAGTAGAATAGAATAAAGAGCCCAGAAACAAACCCTCACATAAATGTCAGGAAACACACAACCTCGATTTTATTACACATTTTTCATTCATTACACACATATTAATATTTATACATTACCTCACATTATCACAATGATTTTCTACAAGGATATCATGACCATTTAATGGGGAAAGGACAATTTCTTTGACAAATGGTTTTGGGAAAACTGGATATCCACAGAACACATGCAAAAAGAAATTGGGCCCTTACCTTACACCATGTACAAAAATTAACTCCAAATTGATCAGAGACCTAAACATAAAAGTTAAAACTAGAAAACTCTTAGAAAAAAAGAAGAAAACTTTAATGACCTTGAGTCTGGCAATGATTTCTTGTATAAAATACCAAAGGACAGGGAACAACGGAAAAAACTAGTTAAGTTGGACTCCATCAAAATTAAAAACTTTTTATATATTAAAGAATGCTGGTAAAAATGTGAAAAGGCAGTCTGTGGGATGGAAAAAATACTTGCAAATTTAATATATGATAAGAGATTGATATCTACAATACATAAAGAATTTCTGTAACTGGACAACAACAAAAAACAATCAACCCAATTAAGAATTGGACAAAGGACTCAAACATATCTCCAACATATATATATTCAAATGATTAATAAGCGCATGAAAAGATTCTTACTGTCCCTAGTCACTAGGGAAAAGCAAATCAAAACAAAATGAGATATCACTTCACTCTGTTAAGATGCCTACTGAAGAGCAAGGTGCCTGGTTAAAAACCTATGTGTAATTTTTCAGGCCAGACTGTAGACAACAACCTGACAGGCATCACAGGGGAAAATTGCCCTCTCTACACCAGATTTAAGGCAGAGCCATTTTATTACAGTCTCTAGAGAGAGTTGCAATCAAGTTCTCAGCCTCTCTTGTCTAGTCATGCTCATCACATATGTACACTCCTAGCCCTGGTGCCTTCATTCTTCAATCTCTTTGTCTGAGACCTTTTGCAAAGGTTCTCTTCAAGCCCTTCTGCCAAGGCCTCCTAATGGGAGTAAGGAGGAGAAAAATTTGAAAGCACTTTTCCACTCTGACTCAGTACCCAGTTCTTTTCCACTTCTAGCTTTCCCTTTAAGCCCAGAGACATAAAACTGCTAGAGCCTTTCATTTGGGAGCTTTCTCAACAGTAAGATACATCCCACTTTTGTACTGATTCAAGTGACCCTTCATGAGTGCACCAGGGGAAATGGAACACAGTGTGTTTGCACTGTTTCTGGTTTTAGCTTCTTGCTTATACCATTGCAGTAAGCCATTAAAGGATTCACTCTTTCATTTTTGGCTTGCTGCTTTAATCAGATATTCCCCCATCTAACAGCTCAGCATGCACTCTCTCTCTCTCTCTCTCCTCTTTCTCCCTCTAGTTCAGCTGAATTCCTGACACCTGTTATCTAAGAAAAGAAAACAAAGAAAAAAGAAACAGAAAATAACGAGTGTTAGTGAAGCTGTGGTGAAATTGGAACACTCATGCATTGCTGGTGGTAGTGTAACATGGTACAAGTGCTATGGAAAATGGTATGGCAATTCCATATACAATTATTACCATATGATCCAGCAATCCCAATTCTGGGTATATACCCAGTATAAGTGAAAGCAGGGACTCAAATAGATATGTATACACCATTTTCATAGCAGCATTATTCACCATAGTCAAAAGATAGAAAAAATCCAGTGTCAATCAACAGATTAATGGATAAATAAATGTGGTAGGTACATACAATGGACTATTATCTAACCACAAAATCAAATAAAATTCTGACACATCTGATGATATGGAGAAACCATAGAGACATTATGCTAAGTGGAGACATTAAGCCAGTCACCAAAGTAAAAATATTGTATGGTTCCTGTAACATGAGCTTTCCAGAGTAGACAAATTCATAGAGATAGAAAGTAGAATAATGGCTACTAGGGGCTGGTGGTCAGGAGAATGGAGAATTATTGTTTAATAGGCACAGACATTTGGTTTCTGGTGATAAAAAATCCTGGAGAAAAATAGTGTGATGATTACACAAGAAGGTGAATATACTTAATGCCATTGACCCATACACTTAAAAATAATTAAAATAGTGATTTTTATGCTACGTATATCTTACCACAATAGAAAATAATAATAAAAAAAAACTTGGGAATACTTGGAGGTGAAAGATTAATAATGAAGAAAATAAAATAATAATGAAATAAATAAAATGATGAAGAAAGTAAGGATATACATGAAGACAAAAGACTGACAGCAAAGAAAATATCAAAGAAAATAAAAAACATTGCTGAAAGAAATTAAAAGCAATGTAAATAATTGGAATGCTAGCCATTGTTAATAGATTCAAAAACTTACTATTGTTAACATATCAATACTCCCCAAAGCTATGCTTGGTTTCAATGTAATTCTTATAAAAATCTAAATGATAGTTTCTTCAGAAATAGACAAACTCTTCCTAACACTCATATGGAGTCACAGGGAAACCCAAATAGCCAAAACAATCTTGAAACGTAAACATGGAAGTGACAGATTTATAAACTAAAAACAACAAAATATTGGTGAAAGAAAGAAGACCCAAGTAAATGAAAAGATGTCCCATGTCTTTGTATATTTTGCCACAAAAAAATAATATTCAATATAATGAAATACTGAAACTTACAGAATAAATTATGTTAATTATGATATGCTAATATGTGCTATGATTAAACACCAAAATATCATTTGTTTAAAGTCAGTAAAGTCTGTTTCTCCCTCATTACTACATGTTCTACAAGTCCATTGTTTAGATTGGAGAGAGGTGCTCTGCTTCACATAGTCCTCACTTAGGGACACAGTTTGACACAGATTCTACTATCTGGACTGTTGCCACTTGCTTTGGGTGGTGGGAAATGGTATAAGGGAGAACAAGATACGTTTTTAAGAGCTTTACCTGGAAGTGACACTCATTACTTTCACTCATATTTTATTGCCTGCTCAAGGTAATTCTCACAGCTACACCTATTTTCAAAGGGGAAGGGAGGTACAATTTTCGTTTGTATCCAGCAAGAGAGAAGAATGAGAAATACTGGTGAGCAGTGCTAACATCTTTCACCGTAGTTATTTATCAGTATTATTATAATCACATGTCTTAATCCATTCATGCTGTTAAACTAGGATACCTGAGACTAGGTAATTCATAAAGAACAGAAATTTATTTTTCATTGCTCTGAAGCTTAGAAAGTTGGAGATCACGGCGCTGGCAAGTTTGGTCTTCTGTTGATAGCTGCTTTCTGTTCTCTGCTCCCAAGATGGTCCTTATTGTTGCATCCTCTGGATCGGGGAGAACACTGTGTCCTCACATGGCTGAAGGCAGAGGGGCAAGCACACCTAATGCTGCGTGAAGCCTCTTTTATAAGGGCCTTAATCTCTTTGGCCAGGTAAGTGCCCCCATGACCTAATCACTTTTTAAAGTCCCCATCTCTTAAAACTATTATATTGACAGAACCTGAATTTTGAAAGGGACACCTTCAAGCCATAGCACCACATTTACTCCACGTAAGCATTTCATACACATAATCTCTCTTGAACCTCAGAATAAGTAATATTATTTTCACTGTACATATGAAGGTACTGTAGCTAATAAAGGTTAAACTGTTCAAAATTATCACAGGAATAATAATAATGGAGCTTATCAATAATACTGTCAGTACCCATAGGGGAGATATTAAGAAACTCAGAGACAGGTCAGTATTTTTCACATCATACCACATAGGTAGCCATTCATTCATAAGGATGGGCCATATCATGAGTGAATATGGTCCAAATCATGAGTGAATAAAATGGGCTGGTAGGATGAGGTAGACTAATGCTAGAAACATGGAAAATGTTCCTAAAGTGCAAATAGAGAAAAAAGGATGCTCTCTACTAATTATATACAATTTTCCACATGTTAATTTTAAGAAAATACCACTACTGACTGAAAATTGGCTTGAAAAGGCTGACAGAACCAGGAATGCAGTTAGAAGGAGGACTGTTAAGGGTGATATTTCTCAGGTTAACAATGTCAGAATCCTCAAAACATATATGAGGGACGTAGAAACAAGAATTGACATTTTTATTGGAATATTCAAATATGGGTTTTAAAAATTATGTTAATTATGTTTCAGTGTTCTCCACTCACAATCCTAATAGTAATCCTAATAATAATCCTAATAATAATCCTTTATTTCCACATCTAATATTCAACCTTACATCTATTTTGTATGTGTATCAGTTTTATTTTATTAAAACTTTCTAGCCCTAAAATTGAACTTCATTTCCTAAAGTATTTCCTAAATGGAAAAAATGATCTATTTTTTCTAATTCTAAAAAAAGTAAAACACCTAAGAAATGAATGCAAGTATCATAGGAGATATTGCTGTATCAACAAAACAGTAGTGGACACATTGTCATAAAGTCAGAGGCTTTTGTTACTCAAAATGATATTACACATGTAAACACCCATGTTCTTCTGACAAACTGCTAACAAAAAAGAAAAATAACCTTTCGTCAAATTCCCCATTATGGGTAGATTAGCAGAAAACCATGTGTCTGAGTGACAGGCATTCATCCAAGAGCAATGCTATGACTGTTTTTATTTTGTTTATGTAACATTTTTACTCAAAATGTTTAATATTTTATATTACACTTTAGGAAAAATTAAAACATACTTTATTTGCTAAAGAAATGAATCATTCTAAATGGATATGTACAAACCAGAATATTGCAGCTTTAAATTTTATCACTTTTTGTTTCTTAATATGTTTCTATGTTTCTATACCTTCTCCATATCAATAGAAAGTCCTAGTTTATATTCAGTCCTTTATTCGTAGGTAAATTTGCTACACAAAGGCAAGAGTATGAAAAGAAAGTGTTGTCAGAGAGTGTGATAAGATGTAGGAAGTGTCAACACAAAGAGTCAAACTCTAAAATATATATATATTTTTTTTTTTTTATTATACTCTAAGTTTTAGGGTACATGTGCACATTGTGCAGGTTAGTTACATATGTATACATGTGCCATGCTGGTGCGCTGCACCCACTAATGTGTCATCTAGCATTAGGTATATCTCCCAATGCTATCCCTCCCCCCTCCCCCGACCCCACCACAGTCCCCAGAGTGTGATATTCCCCTTCCTGTGTCCATGTGATCTCATTGTTCAATTCCCACCTATGAGTGAGAATATGCGGTGTTTGGTTTTTTGTTCTTGCGATAGTTTACTGAGAATGATGGTTTCCAATTTCATCCATGTCCCTACAAAGAATATGAACTCATCATTTTTTATGGCTGCATAGTATTCCATGGTGTATATGTGCCACATTTTCTTAATCCAGTCTATCATTGTTGGACATTTGGGTTGGTTCCAAGTCTTTGCTATTGTGAATAGTTCCGCAATAAACATACGTGTGCATGTGTCTTTATAGCAGCATGATTTATAGTCCTTTGGGTATATACCCAGTAATGGGATGGCTGGGTCAAATGGTATTTCTAGTTCTAGATCCCTGAGGAATCGCCACACTGACTTCCACAATGGTTGAACTAGTTTACAGTCCCACCAACAGTGTAAAAGTGTTCCTATTTCTCCGCATCCTCTCCAGCACCTGTTGTTTCCTGACTTTTTAATGATTGCCATTCTAACTGGTGTGAGATGATATCTCATAGTGGTTTTGATTTGCATTTCTCTGATGGCCAGTGATGATGAGCATTTCTTCATGTGTTTTTTGGCTGCATAAATGTCTTCTTTTGAGAAGTGTCTGTTCATGTCCTTCGCCCACTTTTTGATGGGGTTGTTTGTTTTTTTCTTGTAAATTTGTTTGAGTTCATTGTAGATTCTGGATATTAGCCCTTTGTCAGATGAGTAGGTTGCGAAAATTTTCTCCCATGTTGTAGGTTGCCTGTTCACTCTGATGGTAGTTTCTTTTGCTGTGCAGAAGCTCTTTAGTTTAATTAGATCCCATTTGTCAATTTTGTCTTTTGTTGCCATTGCTTTTGGTGTTTTGGACATGAAGTCCTTGCCCACGCCTATGTCCTGAATGGTAATGCCTAGGTTTTCTTCTAGGGTTTTTATGGTTTTAGGTTTAACGTTTAAATCTTTAATCCATCTTGAATTGATTTTTGTATAAGGTGTAAGGAAGGGATCCAGTTTCAGCTTTCTACATATGGCTAGCCAGTTTTCCCAGCACCATTTATTAAATAGGGAATCCTTTCCCCATTGCTTGTTTTTCTCAGGTTTGTCAAAGATCAGATAGTTGTAGATATGCGGCGTTATTTCTGAGGGCTCTGTTCTGTTCCATTGATCTATATCTCTGTTTTGGTACCAGTACCATGCTGTTTTGGTTACTGTAGCCTTGTAGTAAAGTTTGAAGTCAGGTAGTGTGATGCCTCCAGCTTTGTTCTTTTGGCTTAGGATTGACTTGGCGATGCGGGCTCTTTTTTGGTTCCATATGAACTTTAAAGTAGTTTTTTCCAATTCTGTGAAGAAAGTCATTGGTAGCTTGATGGGGATGGCATTGAATCTGTAAATTACCTTGGGCAGTGTGGCCATTTTCACGATATTGATTCTTCCTACCCATGATCATGGAATGTTCTTCCATTTGTTTGTCTCCTCTTTTATTTCCTTGAGCAGTGGTTTGTAGTTCTCCTTGAAGAGGTCCTTCACATCCCTTGTAAGTTGGATTCCTAGGTATTTTATTCTCTTTGAAGCAATTGTGAATGGGAGTTCACCCATGATTTGGCTCTCTGTTTGTCTGTTGTTGGTGTATAAGAATGCTTGTGATTTTTGTACATTGATTTTGTATCCTGAGACTTTGCTGAAGTTGCTTATCAGCTTAAGGAGATTTTGGGCTGAGACGATGGGGTTTTCTAGATAAACAATCATGTCGTCTGCAAACAGGGACAATTTGACTTCCTCTTTTCCTAATTGAATACCCTTTATTTCCTTCTCCTGCCTGATTGCCCTGGCCAGAACTTCCAACACTATGTTGAATAGGAGTGGTGAGAGAGGGCATCCCTGTCTTGTGCCAGTTTTCAAAGGGAATGCTTCCAGTTTTTGCCCATTCTTTATGATATTGGCTGTGGGTTTGTCATAGATAGCTCTTATTATTTTGAAATATGTCCCATCAATACCTAATTTATTGAGAGTTTTTAGCATGAAGGTTGTTGAATTTTGTCAAAGGCTTTTTCTGCATCTATTGAGATAATCATGTGGTTTTTGTCTTTGGCTCTGTTTATATGCTGGATTACATTTATTGATTTGCGTATATTGAACCAGCCTTGCATCCCAGGGATGAAGCCCACTTGATCATGGTGGATAAGCTTTTTGATGTGCTGCTGGATTCGGTTTGCCAGTATTTTATTGAGGATTTTTGCATCAATGTTCATCAAGGATATTGGTCTAAAATTCTCTTTTTTGGTTGTGTCTCTGCCCGGCTTTGGTATCAGAATGATGCTGGCCTCATAAAATGAGTTAGGGAGGATTCCCTCTTTTTCTATTGATTGGAATAGTTTCAGAAGGAATGGTACCAGTTCCTCCATGTACCTCTGGTAGAATTCGGCTGTGAATCCATCTGGTCCTGGACTCTTTTTGTTGGTAAACTATTGATTATTGCCACAATTTCAGAGCCTGTTATTGGTCTATTGAGAGATTCAACTTCTTCCTGGTTTAGTCTTGGGAGAGTGTATGTGTCGAGGAATGTATCCATTTCTTCTAGATTTTCTAGTTTATTTGCGTAGAGTTGTTTGTAGTATTCTCTGATGGTAGTTTGTATTTCTGTGGGATCGGTGGTGATATCCCCTTTATCATTTTTTATTGTGTCTATTTGATTCTTCTCTCTATTTTTCTTTATTAGTCTTGCTAGCGGTCTATCAATTTTGTTGATCCTTTCAAAAAACCAGCTCCTGGATTCATTGATTTTTTGAAGGGTTTTTTGTGTCTCTATTTCCTTCAGTTCTGCTCTGATTTTAGTTATTTCTTGCCTTCTGCTAGCTTTTGAATGTGTTTGCTCTTGCTTTTCTAGTTCTTTTAATTGTGATGTTAGGGTGTAAATTTTGGATCTTTCCTGCTTTCTCTTGTAGGCATTTAGTGCTATAAATTTCCCTCTACACACTGCTTTGAATGCGTCCCAGAGATTCTGGTATGTGGTGTCTTTGTTCTCGTTGGTTTCAAAGAACATCTTTATTTCTGCCTTCATTTCATTATGTACCCAGTAGTCATTCAGGAGCAGGTTGTTCAGTTTCCATGTAGTTGAGCGGCTTTGAGTGAGATTCTTAATCCTGAGTTCTAGTTTGATTGCACTGTGGTCTGAGAGATAGTTTGTTATAATTTGTGTTCTTTTACATTTGCTGAGGAGAGCTTTACTTCCAAGTATGTGGTCAATTTTGGAATAGGTGTGGTGTGGTGCTGAAAAAAATGTATATTCTGTTGATTTGGGGTGGAGAGTTCTGTAGATGTCTATTAGGTCTGCTTGGTGCAGAGCTGAGTTCAATTCCTGGGTATCCTTGTTGACTTTCTGTCTCGTTGATCTGTCTAATGTTGACAGTGGGGTGTTAAAGTCTCCCATTATTAATGTGTGGGAGTCTAAGTCTCTTTGTAGGTCACTGAGGACTTGCTTTATGAATCTGGGTGCTCCTGTATTGGGTGCATAAATATTTAGGATAGTTAGCTCCTCTTGTTGAATTGATTCCTTTACCATTATGTAATGGCCTTCTTTGTCTCTTTTGATCTTTGTTGGTTTAAAGTCTGTTTTATCAGAGACTAGGATTGCAACCCCTGCCTTTTTTTGTTTTCCATTTGCTTGGTAGATCTTCCTCCATCCTTTTATTTTGAGCCTATGTGTGTCTGCACGTGAGATGGGTTTCCTGAATACAGCACACTGATGGGTCTTGACTCTTTATCCAACTTGCCAGTCTGTGTCTTTTAATTGCAGAATTTAGTCCATTTATATTTAAAGTTAGTATTGTTATGTGTGAATTTGATCCTGTCATTATGATGTTAGCTGGTGATTTTCCTCATTAGTTGATGCAGTTTCTTCCTAGTCTCGATGGTCTTTACATTTTGGCATGATTTTGCAGCAGCTGGTACCGGTTGTTCCTTTCCATGTTTAGCGCTTCCTTCAGGAGCTCTTTTAGGGCAGGCCTGGTGGTGACAAAATCTCTCAGCATTTGCTTGTCTATAAAGTATTTTATTTCTCCTTCACTTATGAAGCTTAGTTTGGCTGGATATGAAATTCTGGGTTGAAAATTCTTTTCTTTAAGAATGTTGAATATTGGCCCCCACTCTCTTCTGGCTTGTAGGGTTTCTGCCGAGAGATCCACTGTTAGTCTGATGGGCTTTCCTTTGAGGGTAACCCGACCTTTCTCTCTGGCTGCCCTTAACATTTTTTCCTTCATTTCAACTTTGGTGAATCTGACAATTATGTGTCTTGGAGTTGCTCTTCTCGAGGAGTATCTTTGTGGCGTTCTCTGTATTTCCTGAATCTGAACATTGGCCTGCCTTGCTAGATTGGGGAAGTTCTCCTGGATAATATCCTGCAGAGTGTTTTCCAACTTGGTTCCATTCTCCACATCACTTTCAGGTACACCAATCAGACGTAGATTTGGTCTTTTCACATAGTCCCATATTTCTTGGAGGCTTTGCTCATTTCTTTTTATTCTTTTTTCTCTAAACTTCCCTTCTCGCTTCATTTCATTCATTTCATCTTCCATTGCTGATACCCTTTCTTCCAGTTGATCGCATCGGCTCCTGAGGCTTCTGCATTCTTCACGTAGTTCTCGAGCCTTGGTTTTCAGCTCCATCAGCTCCTTTAAGCACTTCTCTGTATTGGTTATTCTAGTTATACATTCTTCTAAATTTTTTTCAAAGTTTTCAACTTCTTTGCCTTTGGTTTGAATGTCCTCCCGTAGCTCAGAGTAATTTGATCGTCTGAAGCCTGCTTCTCTCAGCTCGTCAAAATCATTCTCCATCCAGCTTTGTTCTGTTGCTGGTGAGGAACTGCGTTCCTTTGGAGGAGGAGAGGCGCTCTGCGTTTTAGAGTTTCCAGTTTTTCTGTTCTGTTTTTTCCCCATCTTTGTGGTTTTATCTACTTTTGGTCTTTGATGATGGTGATGTACAGATGGGTTTTCGGTGTAGATGTCCTTTCTGGTTGTTAGTTTTCCTTCTAACAGACAGGACCCTCAGCTGCAGGTCTGTTGGAATACCCTGCCGTGTGAGGTGTCAGTGTGCCCCTGCTGGGGGATGCCTCCCAGTTAGGCTGCTCGGGGGTCAGGAGTCAGGGACCCACTTGAGGAGGCAGTCTGCCTGTTCTCAGATCTCCAGCTGCGTGCTGGGAGAACCACTGCTCTCTTCAAAGCTGTCAGACAGGGACACTTAAGTCTGCAGAGGTTACTGCTGTCTTTTTGTTTGTCTGTGCCCTGCCCCCAGAGGTGGAGCCTACAGAGGCAGGCAGGCCTCCTTGAGCTGTGGTGGGCTCCACCCAGTTGGAGCTTCCCGGCTGCTTTGTTTACCTAAGCAAGCCTGGGCAATGGCGGGCGCCCCTCCCCCAGCCTCGCTGCCGCCTTGCAGTTTGATCTCAGACTGCTGTGCTAGCAATCAGCGAGATTCCGTGGGCGTAGGACCCTCTGAGCCAGGTGTGGGATATAGTCTCGTGGTGCGCCGTTTCTTAAGCCGGTCTGAAAAGCGCAATATTCGGGTGGGAGTGACCCGATTTTCCAGGTGCGTCCGTCACCCCTTTCTTTGACTCGGAAAGGGAACTCCCTGACCCCTTGCGCTTCCCAGGTGAGGCAATGCCTCGCCCTGCTTCGGCTCGCGCACGGTGTGCACACACACTGGCCTGCGCCCACTGTCTGGCACTCCCTAGTGAGATGAACCCGGTACCTCAGATGGAAATGCAGAAATCACCCGTCTTCTGCGTCGCTCACCCTGGGAGCTGTAGACTGGAGCTGTTCCTATTCGGCCATCTTGGCTCCTCCCCCTCTAAAATATTTTAAGAGATTTATTCTGAGCCAAATTATGACTGACCAATGGCCTGTAACACAGGCCTCAGGAGACTGTAAGAACATGTGCCCAAGGTGGTTAGGCCACAACTTTGTTTTATGCATTTTATGGAGACATAAGGCATCAGTTAATGCATATATGATGTCCACTGGTTCAGTCCAGAAAGCAGAACAACTGGGAAGCAGGGGCTTCCAAGTCATGGGAGGATTCAAAGATTTTCTGATTGTGAATTGGTTGAAACAGTTATTACCAATAGAAAGGAATGTCTGGGTTGTGATAAGTGGTTGTGGAGACCAAGGTTTTGTCATGCAGATGAAGCCTCCAGGTAGCCGGCCTCAGAGAGAAGAGATTGTAAATGTTTCTTATCAGACGTAAAGAATCTGTTCTACCAGTAATTCCAAAAGGAAGAAGGGTGTAATTAAGCATGTCCAGCTCCCACTTCCCATCATGGCCTGACACTAGTTTTTCAGGCTAACTTTGGAATGCCCTTAGCTGACAGTAAGAGTTTATTTAGATGGTGAAGGGGCTTAGAATTTTATTTTTGTTTTACAGGAGATAGTATGGAATGGTAAAGAGGACATGATTAGGTATACAAAGATTTAATTCAGTCAGGCTGTAAGAAAAGCTGTAAGAAGTATCTACCAATCTTTTCTACTCTTCTTTCCACAGAAAACTCCCTTCTCATTTGTATGAGAGATAACACCCACTCCACTCACTCCTCACAACTCCCTATTCTTAACAAATTAACTCACATGCAGATCTTATCAAATATTTAATGGAGAGGTATTTCAGGCTTAAAATAAAATATTTCCCCTAAGCATTTGCCTCATTTATTTATTTTGTATTTGTTGACCCATATGTATTGAGAGCATTTTTCTTTCAGGCACTGTGTCAGCTATCATGAAAACAAGTAAATTTGTCTTATGCTACAACTAAAGTGTAGACAGGGATCAGTAGGAGAATGGGGCAAAGCCTAATTACCTAGAGGAGTCAGGAAGGTATTCCCAGATAAAATGAAATTTAAGTTGTGTCTCCTGAACCAAGGAAATCCATTAGGACCTAAAGCATTCTAAAATTTCCTTAACATATTCACAATACAGAAAGTTGAGGATGGAGACATTTTTGTGTGTGGCAGAAAGTATTTGAAGACAAGGGAAGAGTAATAGCATCCCTCAAATAATAGCACAAATGTGGCCTTATATTCTGCATACTTGAAAGATGCCCCTTTCTTACGTTATTTTAGGACGCATCTTCAGGAGGCCTGCACAACAGAGTACACTGTTTTCTGGCTCTGTTCCTTACCTCTCAGATAATTTAAATGGCACAGAGTCAAATGAAACAAGAGAAAAATGCCAATATATATGGATGTGTTAAACCGTGAGAAGATATAACATAGCTATTTGAGTTGACAGAAAAGCATCAGATAAGTTTCAAGAAAAGTTTAAAGATAGATGAAAGTAAGGCAACTCAGTTCAGAAAAATATAACCTAAACTATTATATCTATGCTGTCATTTAAGGCCTAGGAACAGGACTCAGGTCACTGTTGACTGTGAATTACTCCAGAAAATGATGAAAACAAAGGACTTTACTTACTGTGGAATTCTCATAGAATACAGTGGGGTTCAGTTACACCTAAACCACACTAAATTTGGCAACTTCTGTTGGATAACTAAAAACAGAAAAGGAAAAAGCTAAAAGAAAGGCATATCGAGGAATTCAAAGGATGCTAGATTATTTTTCTATATGAATTCAAACTTCATAAAAGACTAAGAACAAAACAGGATTAAAGCGTACTCTTTGACCTTTGAAAGAGATATGATGGTTATGATGAAAATGAAGATGACATCTCCAATTTAGTGAGTGTCAGACACTTGGTTGTTCAGTTTACATATAACATATATTATCTTCCTTTGGCCTTGCCACATGAAGCAGATATAGTTTATAAATAGTAGAAATGCATTGTATAACCAGTGACAACTACGTAAATATGAACCTCCTCTGTTGTATGGTAAATACAAAATATAATAAAAGGTATTCTGTTTCTAACTAAATACCATATTTTTAATGCCTTTATAAGATCTGATTTCAGGAACTGCATGTAAATTTATTAGTATTTTAAATTAAAAATAAATTCACTAATATAAGTGTAAAGAAATCAAGTGAGTTTAAATGTCTTAGATAAAATACATCTTTAATTTTTACTTCAGTATAGCTAATAAACAAATCCAGACATGGCTCTTGTCAGATAGCTTTTTTCCTATTTGATTTTCCTTCCCTTGTACTTCCTGCACAGCTTTAACATGGCTCCCACAGCCATGCTTTTTCACAATGATACGAAGTGTTGAAATTATCTCTTCTTTTTCAGTACACAAAAATATCATTCTACTGTACAACTTACCACCAAACCCTTATTCCCTGCAAGTTTACACTCAGGATAATCAGCTACTGTCTGAAGTCTCAAATTCTAGTGAAATGAAACATTTTTGTATTATACACATGCACTTATAATATATTCATTAACATGAATGTGCATTATGATATAGGACATGGGAAATAAGGCATTTACTTGAGGAACTGCAAATATTTTACATTTGTTCAACAAACACGTTGAGAATTTACAATGTGCAAAGTATTGTGGAAGTCTTTCTTCTTTCCTCTTCCCCCAGTAAAAATGTCCAGCTGTCTCGGCAGGAAAAGAGATTGAGAAGTATAATGAAAGCATACTCTCTGGTCCTTGTCATTACAGCACTTATCCATGAAGTTGCATGCTAGAAACAGGGAGTCAGTCTTTGTGAAAATTTTGGTCACCATCGCAGCTTTAGACTAGGCTGAAATAAAGAAAGAGTGTATAGGGTCTAGTCTCTTATCCAAAGCCAAGAAAATAGTTATTTCAAGTTTTTATTTTTAATAAGTGAAAGCATTTATTTCTGTATCAAACTACATATATGTTTTATTAATAGAGAGTTTAATAGAATCATGGGTCTGGATAGCACATATTAGAAGACTTGAATTTTAGTACAGTCATAATAAGTAATTAATTTATAATAAGAGAGGGAAAAAAAGAACTTCAACCCCAATGCCACAAATAAAATAAAAATTTTAAAAAAATTATGAATGCATAGTATAAAATCATGTAGTATATTTACTTAATTGAATACATATCAAAAATTGTTGCCTGTAAAGATTTTATGCATACATAATTTCACATAATTATATATATTTATATCATTGTATTATAAATACAAAAATATTCATATAATTATAATTACATATAATTTTTAGAACTAGCTTCCTCTAAACAATAATTGAATTCAGAATAATATAAATCATGTTAAAGAAATATAACATAAATAATTAAAATTATAAGACAGCAGTTCAAAAGTTCAAATACCTATTATATATATATATATATATATATATATATATATATATATATATACACACACATGCCTTAGGAGATAAAATTATTTTATTCTTCAATGAAATATTCATTGTTCTTCAATGAAATATTCATTATTCTTCAATGAAATAATTCAACCGATAAGTTTAAATCATTGTTAATTAAGACAATATTATATACTTGAAATTTATATTAATTTTAAGTGTTCAGTTCTAGTTTTATTGTTCATACACTGAGCCCTCTTACACACTACCTCAGAAGATGAATATGAGAGCATGATTGCAAATTTCTTTGAAATTTCTCCCCAGCAAAGACTGATTCAGAAAGCCACATGGGAGAAGCAAAGAAAAGCCAGAGAACACATTCTTTCCTGATCTCTTATATTTGTTCAGAAATACGAAACAACATAAATTGAATTCCAGTTATAGGTAAAAATGGGGCCATTTCTAGAAAGATGTCTGTGATGGCTCAGACTAGCTCCAATTATATTGCCTTTCTCATTCAAAAAAATTGATCTCCTATTGGCTGCAGAGAATAATTTGTCTTTTTTATCTGTGATCAAATGAAGATTCATACCTGGTTTCACCGGGAAGTTTAGGATATTGTTGAAAAAAACACTCTTACAAGAACTAATTGCACATGACGCTGGAATTAGAATTAATATCTGCTGAGCATTTTACAATTCACAAAGCACATCTATATGTATTATCCTATTTGGTCTCCTAGCAAACCTGTGAGGAAATATTATTCCCATTTTACAAATAAGGCTCAGAATCTCTGCCTCTTATGGCTGAAACTTTTTTTTTCTACAACAATTTGACTTACCATATGAGAGATGCCAAATAATAGTTGCAATGCCATATATTGCACATGAAATGTATATTTTTAGAGAATCTATGAAACATCCAAATGCTGCTACTATTTTTGATAGCATCTTTCATTTAAAACTCTAATTGTTGACTTCTAATATGAACTGAATTACCCTTTAAGGCAATCACTGCAAATAGAAAGTTCTTCATATACAGTATTTTCCCAAATTCTTCGTTAAAATCAAAGTACCTTGCAATGAGTTTTACCCTGAGGTTCCAATATTTTAACAATGAAAAGTCTTTTATTAGTCTGGCATAGAAAAACATCGAATACATCTGCTTAGGAGGAATGAGAAGTTCTTCCTGTAAGATGAAGGTACTAACTCAAGAAGGGAACTTTGGGAACTCCAAAGCTTGTTCAGTTCCTACTTTATTTTTATCATAAAAATGTGGCATCTTTCCTACTGCTACTATCTAGGTTAGTAGTCAAGGCCTATGTTTTACAATAAATTATTTTAAGCCATGTTTCATATCCCTTCCTTTGCCTCAGCCACAGAATTCCGAAAAAGCAAAAGTAGAATAATCTCTCTTAGGAGGCTTCTCATTGTACAACTGCAGTATATCCAATACTGACATTTGGGTTATAAGAATTCTCCTCAGTCTACCAATCCTAAATATACCCTAGTTTAACATACTCATTATGTCCCTTGCCAAAAAGCAGTTAGAGAGAGATTGAGAGAGATGGACTATGATATTTAAGTATATCACATGCCTTTAAGCTTTTGTATACAATCAAAAACAACTTTAAATTAGAAAAAGCTTATTATGTCATCATCCTCTCATTTTAACTACCAAGAAATAACTGTGCAATGACCACTGTGAACATGGTCCCATTATATATGTGATGGGGTTTTCAAAAGCCTGTTTATAGACAGTAGTGGCTTTCAAAGAATTTTTTTTCTTTCTTTTTTTGAGACAGAGTTTTGCTCTGTCACTCAGGCTGGAGTGCAGTTGTGCGATCTTGGCTCACTGCAACCTCTGCCTCCCAGGTTCAAGCGAATCTCCTGCCTCAGCCTCCTGAGTAGCTGAGATTACAGGTGACTGCCACTACGCCTGGTTAATTTCTGTATTTTTAGGAGATACGGGGTTTCACCATGTTGGCCAGGCTGATCTCGAACTCTTGACCTCAGGTGATCTGCCCACCTCGGCCTCCACCTGGCAACCTTCACAGAATTTCTAATGACAGTACAAATACATTCACACTGTGTCACTAAAGGGAATGAGAATAAAGACTACCATTAATATTTCCTACAAAGGTTACAAATGGTCAGTCATTGTCAGTCACTTACTTAAGCAACACTTAAGTTTCAAGCCTCTCCACTGAAATAGTCTACCCAAATTAGAAGGTACCAGAAAAGTAATCCAGGCAATATGACAAAACAGGGTTCTATAACACACCCAAAAGATCACAACAGCTTGCCAGCAATGTATCCAAACCAAGAAGAAATTTTTGAATTGCCAGATAAACAATTCAGAAGGTGGGTTATTAAGCTATTCAAGGAGATACCAGAGAAAGGTGAAAATCAACTTAAAGAAATTAAAAAACAATGGAGGATATAGATGAAAACTTCTCAAGAGAAATATATATCACAAAGAAGATACAATAACAATTTCTGGAAATGAAAGACACACTTAGAGAAATACAAAATGCAGTTGAAAGTTCCAACAATACACTAAAACAAGCAGAAGAAAGAACTTCAGAGCTCAAAGACAAGGCTTTCAAATTAACCCAATGAGACAAAGACAAAGAAAAAAGAATTTAAAAAAATAAACAAAGCCTCCAAGAAATTTGGGATTATGTTAAATGACCAAATGTAAAAATAATTGGTGCTCCTGAGGAAGAAGAGAAATCTGAAGTCTGGAAAACTTATTTGAGGGAATAATTGAAGAAAGCTTCCCAGACCTTGCTAGAGATCTAGACGTTCAAATGCAAGAAGCTCAAAGAACACCTTGGAAATTCATCACAAAAAGATCCATGTATTCTTCAGGTTATCGAAAGTCAAAACAAAGGAAAGAATCTTAAGAACTGTGAGACAAAAGCATCAGATAACCTATTATTCTGTGTTCTAATATTCTGTGTTTTTCTGTGTACTTATTACCACTGAGTTTTACACCTTCAGGAGATTACTTATTGCACATTAATGTCCTTTTCTTTCTTTCTTTTTTATTTTATTTTATTATTATTTTTTTGACACAGAGTCTCATTCTGTTGCCCAGGCTGGAGTGCAGTGGCACAATCTTGGCTCACTGCAGCCTCCACCTCCTGGGTTCAAGTGATTTTCCTGCCTCAGCCTCCCGGGTAGGTGGGATTACAGGCATGCACCACCGTGCTTGGCTAATTTTTTGTATTTTTAGTAGAGATGGGGTTTCACCATGTGGACCAATCTTGGCCTCCCAATGTCCTGGGATTACAGGTATAAGCCTCTGTGTCTGGCCAGTGTCTTTTTCTTTCTGATTGTAATATTCCCTTTACCATTTCTTGTAGTTCAGGTCTAGTGTTGATGAAATCCCTCAGCTTTTGTTTATCTGGTAAAATCTTTATTTCTTCTTCTTATGAGTTTGAAGGATATTATTGCCAGACATACGGTTCTAGGGTACATTTTTTTTCATTCAGCACTTTAAATATGTCGTGCCACTGTCTCCTGACCTGTAAGGTTTCCACTGAAAAGTCTGCTGCCAGATGTATTGGGGCTCCATTGTGTTTGTTTCTTGTCTCTTGCTCCTTATAGGACTGTTTCCTAATTTTTGACCTTTGGGAGTGTGTTATTAAATGCCTTGAGGTTGTCTTCTTTGGGTTAAATCTGCTTTGTGTTCTGTAATGTTCCTGTGCTTGGATACTGATATCTTTCTCCAGGTGTAGGAAGTTTTCTGTTATTATCCCTTCGAATAAACTTTCTACCCCTGTTTCTTTACCTCCTCTTTAATGCTAGTAACTCTTAGATTTGCCCTTTGAGGTTATTTTCTAGATCCCGTAGGCATTCTTCATTTTTTAAATTCTTTTTTCATTTGTGTGTTCTGAGCCTATCTTCAAGCTCACTAATTCTTTATTCTGCTTTATCGATTCTGCTATTAAAATATATTGATACATTCTTCAGTATGCCAATTGCATTTTTCAGCAACAGAATTTATATTTGAGCCTTTTTTTTTTTTTGTGGGGGGAGACAGAGTCTCGCTCTGTCGCCCAGGCTGGAGTGTAGTGGCGTGATCTCAGCTCACTGCAAGCTCCACCTCCTGGGTTCACACCATTCTCCTGCCTCAGCCTCCCAAGTAGCTGGGACTACAGGTGCCTGCTACCATACCCAGCTAATTTTTTGTATTTTTAGTAGAGACGGGGTTTCACCGTGTTAGCCAGGATGGTCTCATCTCCCGACCTCATGACCCGCCCTCCTCGGCCTCCCAAAGTGCTGGGATTACAGGCGTGAATATTAGAGCCTTTTTAATTATTTTGATATCTTGGTTAAATTCATCTGATAGAATTCTGAATTCCTTCTCTGTGTTATCTTGAATTTCTTTGAGTTTCCTCAACACAGCTCTTTTGAATTCTCTGCCTGAAGCATCACAAATCTCTGTTTCTCTAAGATTGATTCCTGTTGCCTTACTTAGTTCGTTTAATGAGGTAATGCTTTCCCAGATGGTGTTTATGCCAGTAGATGTTCTTTGGTGTCTGGGCATTGAAGAGTTCTGTATTTATGATAGTTTTCACTGTCTGAGCTTATTTGTAGCCATCTTCCTTGGGAAGGCTTTCCAAATGTTTGAGTGATTGGGTGTTGTGATCTAACCTTTGTCCCCTTTAGGGGGCACCCAAAGTCCAGTAACATTATGATTCTTCCGGACTCATAGAGGTACTGCCTTGATGGTCTTGGACAAGATCTAGGAGAATTTTCTGGATTACCAGGCAGAGACTCTTATTCTCTTCCCTTACTTTCTGCCAAACAAAGAGTCTTTCTGTCTGTTCTGAGCCACCTAAAGCTGAAGGTGGAGTGACACAAGAACCCCTGTTGACACCATTGCTATGACTGTGCTGGGTCAGACCTGAAGCCAGAACAGTGCTGGGTCTCACTGAAGGCTTGCTGGAACCACTCTCTAGCTACTGCCTATGTTCACTCAAGACCCCAGGGCTTTACAATCAGCCAATGGCAAAGCCAGCCAGGCCTGTGTTTTTCCCTTCAGGGTGTCAAGATTCCCCAGGTCCCACATGGGTCCAGATGTGCTGTCCAGGGGTCAGGGACTATAGTCAAAAGCCTTAGAAGTCTACCTGGTGTTCTACTGTATTGCATCTGAGCTGGCACTCAAATCACAGTTCTTCCCACTCTTCCCTCTCCTTTCCAAAGGCAGAGGAGTCTCACCCTGTAACCACTGCCACCTCAGGCCGTGAAGTGTACTGCCAGACTTCCAACCAATGTTCCCTTAAGTCCCAAAGGCTCTTAAGTCATCTTGTGATAAATGCTGTCTGGCCTGGGACTCTCCTTTCAGAGAAGTGGGCTCCTTTCTGACCCAGGTTAAGGCCATAAATGCTATCTAAGAGTCATGTCCTGGAATTGGGAACTCCCAAAGCCCGCTTGGTGCTCTGCTCCTCTGTGGCCATGCTGTTACCTAAGGTGCCAGATAAAGTCCCCTTTCCTTTTCCCTCTTCTTTTCTCAAGAAGGAGTTTTGCCCCATAGATACCACAGCTGATATTGTTCTGAGTCTCACCTGAAGCCAGAAAGCCTCAGAGGTTCACCCAAGACCTTTGATGTAGTTCCTTGGTATCACTGCTGGTTACTCAGTGCCCAAGGGCTCTCCAGTTGGCAGGTGATGAATGTTATTAGGAATGGGTCTTTTCCTTCAAGGAAGCAGGTTCTTTTCTGGCCCAGGGTGTGCCTAGAAATGTTATCTGGGAACTACGGCCTGAACAGAGCCCTCACAACTCTGTCTTGTGCCCTATCCTGCTTTGTTTGAGCTGGTATCCAAGACGCAAAACAGAGTCCTCCCCGCTCTTCCCTCTCCTCTCCTCAAGCAGAAGGAAGGGATCTCTTTTGGAGCCAAAAGTTGTGTAGCCTGGGGTTAGAAAAGAGGTGATGCCAGCATGCCCTTGACCCTGCCACAGCTGGTGTATCAGTAGGTCATGTGCCTACCCAGTCCACTGTCTCTGGGCCCAGTTCAGCCCTAAGACTTGCCTAAGAGTTGCAGTCCTTATGGCCTAGACTGCCTTTCAAGTTTACTTGGAGATAGAGAGTGCTGCAGCCCATGGTGGTAAGGTTTGTGGGAACTCAAGTTTGGGTCCTTAAGCTGGGATGGGTGATTCTCCTCTGGCTAGGGCTACTTTAAATTCATTCTCCAAGGGCAGGCATCAGCTGAGTTTGGTCTGTTTTTCCTTTCTGCTCTAACAGGACGGCACTGAGTTCAAGCCTCACAATTGCTGTATTCTCCCTCCCTTAGTGCCCAGAAAAGCTCTCCACACCATGCAGCTGCTGCTGCTGCCAGTGGTGGGAGGTTAGGTGGTATTGGTGATTCAGTACTTTTTTTTTTTTTTATCTCTTCAGTGCCTCTTTCAGAAATATGAAGTTAAAACTAGTGCTATGAGCGCTTACTTGGTTTTTGGTTGTCATGAAGGTGCTTTTTCTGTGTAGATGCTTGCTAACTGGGTGTTTGTTGGGAGTGGGAGATGATCAATGGAGCCTTCTATTCCACCATCTTTCTCTGTCTTCTCTATTCTGTGAGAGTTTAAATGTCACATCTGTTTTTGACATTCAAATATCTGTAATTTTATTTTGCTTTGTAAACACGTGGTCACAAACCAGACAAATAAAGATTAAAGCTATAATTATTTAAAACCTTTTAGACTGGACTTCTAACTTCTGTTATAAATCTATCACCTAAAGCGTCTTTGTTACCCAATGTATGCCTTGAAGACCAGCAGCATCAAAATTGCCTGTGAATATCAGAGAAATGAAAAGTCTCAGTCTCCTCCCATATGAACAGTATCATAATCTGTATTTTAACAAGGTACCAAGTGATTTACGTGCCCACAAAAGTTTCATGTAACAGAAAGAACAACAAACTGGGATTTAAGCCTAGCTCTGCTCCTTTGGCTTTCCTGTCTGTTTCTCCACCTATAAAGAGCAATAATTCTGAAATGACTACCTCAGAGTTAATATACAAATGGTATTAGCATTTATGTGAAAGTATTATGAAATTGAAGACATTAAGATAGCTTAAAACAATATGGTTGTTGATCTTCTTAGGAAAAGATTCAAGGGTGGAAATGTAAAAGGGGAAAACAGATGAGAAGGTGAGTAATGCAATGAATGCTTACCAAAGAAGTTATCCTGGATTATCCCAGTGGGCCCTAAATCCAATGACAAGTGTTCTTATGAGAACAAGGCAGAGGGATATTAGGCCTAAGAGGAAAAGGCAATTTGACCAAGGAGGCAATGATCGCTGTGATGCAGCCATGAATAAAAGAAAGGCTATCACCCTCAGAAGCTGGAGAAAGCAACAAATGAATTCTCCTTGAGAGGCTTCTGAGGAAGCACAACCCTGATGACACCTTAATTTTGGACTTCTGGCATCCAAAACTGAGAGAAAAATAAATATCTTTTGTTTTAAGCCACTAAGTTTGTGAGAATTTGTTACAGCGGCCCATAAAGGTGGGGAAAAAGGAAGAAAGGCATCTATGTCAAAGAAGAAAGCATGAACTCACATTCTGTGCACTTTGCAAACAAATGGTAGCTCTTTGTCCAATAGAAAACAATAATGCTGAAGATAATAATAGGAACAACTAATAATAATAATGAGCTTAACACACTTTAAAGTATTTTTAAAGCTTTTAAATGATTTGAAGATGCAGAATCTCAATCATTTTCTCTTTGTATATGTCAGTAAATTGACACTGAAGCTAGTTACCTCTACCCAATCCAAAAATTCTGTAGATAGTTAACTGGGGGGAGGGGAAAGCCAAACAATGCCAGACAATGCTTAGTAACATATTAAAAAAAAAAAAAAAAAAAAAAACAAAGCTAGCCACACAAACACAAGTAAACTAACCAACGTGTCTCGGTGTATTAGTTTCCTAGGGCTGCCATTCTCAAGTTATTTTATACGCTTGCATTTTACTGTGCTTTCTCTGTATTTCCTTTGCTAATGAATTCTCTCTTCCTTTCATCCCACTTGCCCCCTCCTAACTCCTATTCATGCTTTATTTATCAGCCTAAATAAAATCTCTTCTAGGAAGCCTTCCTTGAGCCATTGATCTCTCATCTACCACCCTAACCAATCCCACCTCCCAGTCACTCGCCCACTAACGTACATAAACACACAGAGTAGGATGCTTTTATGCTGTGGACACACTGCATTCATCACAGCATATTAATAACTCGGTAGAATGTGAACACACTGCATTCCTGACAGCATATTATTAATAAATCTGTAGAGTGCATGTTTACTTGCCTTCTTCCCTCTATGGACTTTATCCCCATCATGAGTAGAACATAGCAGGGGTGAAAAAGGTATTTTAAGATAAATGAATGCATGAATAACCTTTAAAAATACCAACTACCACTTATAAAGTGTTTTCTGTCTGCCAGACACTGTTCTAAGTGCTTTATGTGTATTAATGTATATCCTTATAAATGACCTATGTTACATACTATCGATGTTCCCATTTTATAGATCAATAAACTGAGGCAAAAAAAAACTTAGAGCAAAGTAACATAGGAAGTAAACGGTAGAACCAAGTATTTGCATCCATGCATTCCCACTGCAGACTCCAGGTTCTTAACCATTATTTTAAAAACATAATAGCTAACACAGAATTTATCACACACCAGACATTCTTTTAACTCATCTACATATGTTGATACATTTAATCTCAACACATTCATTCAACAAGCGAATGATACGGGCATAACTAGCACCAATAGTGCCTGCATGTCTAAAACTTGGGGGCATGAAACCTGTTTCCGCCAGAGAACTATTTGTTGTTTAACTAATAAAAGGCAATGCTATCAATTCACATTTGTGAATCAATTGTATTCAAAGCACTTACACACATAAGGTAACCTCTTTTTTCTCTGGGGCACAATAATTTAAAATAATAACATTAGCAACATTACTTTCCAGTTTTATTTTACATTTTAAATCTTATGTTGTGTGAAGTTGTGCCCAATTTCAGCCTGCCACAGGATTCCAAGGTAACAACTTGCAAAGCAGCCCTTTAATCACTAGAATTAGTATTTCAGTGGATTTTTGTATGGCAGGTATAGCATGAGTAATGACCCTGTATAACTCAGTAAGATATGATGATGAAAACTTAGGAGCTTCATGTTGAAAGAGTCCCAACTGGAAGTTAAGAGAGCTAGCTTCAACCTCGGACACTAACTGGAAGACAACTTTCCCTGGACCTCAGTTTTTGCATCAGTGAAATTACACGGGGAATGAGCTCTTTATAACTCTAGATGCCTAATTCTGTAAAGCCACAAACTACTCATGAAATGTAATCTAATTATTTTATAATATCACTTCCAGCCAGCTTGGCAAAACTAATAAATTGTGGCTCTCTTTTCCTGGCTGGTGAGACATATAAGATAAAAACATGAGCATTATTTACCCAGGATCACAGGTTTGACTAGTAATGAGGACTCTGTCTCTAAAAATCATAGCATTGAATAGAAACTCCTTTGAGAATATCAATAGTATGCCATGTGTGAGCAGGAAATTACCATCGTGATACCAGTAGATAGCATGTTAACAGAGTATTAATTATGAAGCAGTGCTAACTGAATAATACATGGCAGTTATTAAGAGGAGATTTTCAAGGGTCGATATGCTATGACTCAACTGCCAGTCAGTAATGAGATAATACACTACAGAGCCCAGGTACAAAGAATTGCTGGTGCCAGTGATAAGGATGCGTGATAGCTATCTGGAACTAAAAATCATGGTCTATACATGGTATGAGCTAAGATTTATAAATCTTCCGGCAGAAAGAGCTATTCAAGCAGTTATAAACCACACATCTGGTAAGCTGTTTTTATGGATCTTGAGTGCAGAGCTAATGAGGCCAGGATAAAACCTCAGTAGGAAGTCATTTTATAAGATTGCCTCTTTCCTTTTCAGGCATTGTGTAGAATAATAGTAAATATCAAATTGCAACAGAATTACTAAATAAGTAAAGAATAGCTTAGCTACCTCTTGAGTGAAGGAGACAACAGAAAAAAAAAATAAAGAGACAAAAGAATCTGTTTTTAGAGCTTCTTACAAGAAAATATGGTTTTAATAAATGTTATTGAGTATGAAGAAGTCAGTCATGTCATAAATTCAGGAAGCATCAGATTTACCAAGCATTTATTTTTAGCTCTAGCAAGAGTAAAGAGAATTCATTAAAATATTACCATGGCAAAACATGAAGCTAAAAGTGATATCACAGTCACATGATTTATTTTCAACAAAAAAAAATTGCATTAACATTGACTTATAGTATTTCCTTGAAATATAAGACATCTCTCTCCTTTTAGTTAAAGGTCATTTAACCAGCAAGGCAATGGCCTTGTAAAAAAAATTCCTGATAATGCTATTAAGAAACTAACCTTCTAGCGTGGATGGAGGACAGGAACCAGGAATAGGAGTTCCAAGTTAACAGACATAAATAAACAAAAATATAAAAGATTCTGAAAAATATTTTAATTGTTATGTTTTCTTTATTAGGCTATTTTTTTTTTTCATGGTCTCAGTAGTCACTAAAGGCATTCACAGAGAGCATTCTTCTTGATAAAGGAAAATAAATTCAAATAAAAGACTGCACTAGATGTAGAACCCAAGTCTTTTCGAAATGAAAGGGGCCTTAAAGATCTTCCAGTAACTCCTGGAAAATTTTCCAAAGGAACAATTTTGTTTCTCAGAGCAGCCTACTCTCTAACATATTCCAGCTGTCCAGTTAGGTAAGCCAGTGCAATCAGGGAGAACACAGATGAACCAGATAAACAACAACAAAAAGATCACTTGGAAAAAAAAGGGTTACTGTCAAGTAATTCAAACTTTGTAATATGAAAGTGTCAGTGTGATAAAACTGCTGATAAAATAGCCTGCAGCCATTTTTCCAAAACAGAAAGATGGCACTAATATTGTTTTTCTTTTATTTTAAATTTCATTATTATAATACTTTAAGTTTTAGGGTACATGTGCACAACGTGCAGGTTTGTTACATATGTATACATGTGCCATGTTGGTGTGCTGCACCCATTAACTCGTCATTTAGCATTAAGTATATCTCCTAATGCTATCCCTCCCCGCTCCCCCCACCCCATAAGCAGACCAGCCATGCTTGTTTACTACAGGATTTCTACAGCCATCATTTAGAGAGGCATAGAAGCAGTATTTCTGAGCTACTGAACAGTAATACAATGCACAAATTTTACAGTGGATAAGCCAGCCTACAAAAGGGAAGAAATGTATTTCATGAAATCTCTCTCCTGTCGATGTATAACATCCACAGAAACAAAGATGGAGCAAGGTAGCCCACATACTAACCATGACTGAAAATGTACTCTTGTCCCTTGGAATAAGCTTTTAATTCCTATCTTTGCCCTTCACTCTTTTCTATGATGCTCTGTTCATTGTCCTGCTTCCACCTTCTTTTAGCATTCTTTTTTGCCCCAATAACAGAAAAAACAAAACTATGTAAAAGATAAAATGTCTTCAATTTCTTACTGTAATAATGTACCCAAACACTCTCTTCCTTCTCCCCACCAACATGCATATGCAAACACACACACAGAGAGAGAGAGGTTGAGAGAGAGAGAGAGAGAGAGACAGATCCACTGAGAATTATTTCTAGGACTGAATGTCCTAGAAGGCAGATGTATCTCTATGTTCTGTTTTGTTTAGCTATATGTGGTACTTACTACAGAGGTGTAACTACCATATGTATTTAAAAAGCAAATGGTAAATTAATTTTACAAATACAGCATAATTCCTGTGATCCAGAGCCACCCATTAAAGTTCAGATATGGAGAATAGAAACAACATTTAGCAAGAACCCTCCCTTATAAACACACATGTGACACCCAGTGATGTTGACATGAGCTGTGAATACACGTCTAAAAAGAAGATTTGGTTTACAGTAACCAATGCTACAGTTAATGAAAAGAGCATTTTTGTAGGATTGCAAAATTACACGTATCACACCTGTACATGGATTACCTGCCTCCAAAATAAACATCTTCATAAGAAGCAGGGTACATCTGAGTGGCTCTAGCATCTTAACTAAATTAAGACCAAAATGGCACCTTTACACAAGGACACAGTATTCTAAAACTCCAAATGAAAACCTTTCTTTAGGAAGTGGAAATCAGCTGCAATTAAGAGATGACACACTCAAAAATGGCATATGAGAACTGGCAGGTAAAAGGCTTTCCATGAAACAATTTGAGTGTACATTGAGTCTGTACAGTCAATCCCTTGTTATCCATATCAGTCAAAGGTGGTGATCACACAGAAAATTCATAATTGTGGATACTGAAAAACACAATATTTGGTTTTATATGTCTCAAGCTAGATTCAAATGGGAGAAAAATCTGGAATACATTTGTGAATCCACTGTGAAGAATCTGATTCTCTCTTTCTTGTAGTAATCAAATTGGAAAAGCCACTCAGCCTCCAAATTCTGCTTTCACTCTTTCCAAACCATATGGGAAATTATTACCCAGACTGATACAAAGTAGCCCTGGAAAGCCAAATATACAAACTTGCTTTTTTTTTTTTTTTTCTGGCAACTCTCTTATAGCAAAAAGCTAAATGCTTTATCCAAAAAGCACTTTATTTCAGGTTTCTCTCTGTCTGGCTAGAATGGGGAAAAGAAAGTTATTTATATAAGCTATTATAGTACATAATTACACAGGTAACAAAAGAAAAAAAAATCAATAAGATTTTGAAAGGAATACGTTCTTACCCTAAACCGAATGGAAACAAAAACAACATAGAAAGTATTAATTCAAAATCAGGCAGACCAACAAAAGTCATGGTTAAAAGAAACCACAGATTTATATAACCTAAACCCTTCATTTTATGGATGAAGAAATTAACAAGCAGTGAACTGAAATCTTTACTTCAGTTGTGGTCTGTGGGCCAAGCCTAAGCATCACCTGGGAGGTTATTAGAACTGCACAATTTCAGGCCTCACTTCAGACCCACAAAATTAGAATCTGCATTTTAACAAAATCTCCACCCCAGATAATTTCTATGTACGTTGAGGTTTAAGAAGTACTTGTTAAATTACTTCTCCAAGTTATCATTAATCATTTACCATGTATATATTACTCAATGGTAGTAGTCAAATGTGTCAAGAAACCTTTCTTTGAGTAAGAGTAATTCAAGCATACTTCCCTCTGTCACAGTGAACAAACTATTTCCATAAGCTAAATTAATTATTTTTGAATTCTGCATCACTTCTTCAGGCCTTTTACCCAAGTTATCAAATTACTATTTTAGTGCAAATAGGCATTGCCAGAGAATAATTTTGGCATTTAAAGAATCTAGTTTATTCCATGATAAATTCTACAATTCCTTATTTCCTTATGATCCCTGACTAGGAACCAGGTTATTCTGTATAGAATAAACTGGAACCGGGTCCTCGCTTATTCCATTTATTTGTCCACTCTAAAGCCAGGCATAAAGAAGCACAGTATATATTTATTCAATCAGTTGTTGGAAGGCAAGCAAAGAACCAAGTTCTTTGTGGTCAGTAGCATTTGTGTTAATATTCCTTCAAGAAAAATTACTAGACCATTTTCAAGTCCATTTTTAGTGCACTCTCTTTTATTGGTGGTCAGAAACTGCTTCTTGCTCTCCACTTCAAACTCCTCAGCCATATAGTTCGGCTTGTCTCTACAGCCAATTGAGCCTATCCTATACTCTAAACAGGTGGCTCTCAACCTGAGGTGATTTGGCCCCACAGGGGACATTTTGCAGTGTCTAGAGATATTTTTGGATATTACAACTCTAAGGTGGTGAGTGCTACTGGCATCTACGGAGTAGAGGCCAGGGATGCTGCTAAATATACTACCCAGGCAGCCTTCCACAACAAGTAATTAATTATCCAATCCAAAATGCCGATAGTGCTAATGTTGAGAAACCCTTGCCTAGACCCATTCCCAAACTTTTGTAGTCCTTTATCCTCCTCAGGTTCAGCTATTGCCTTCTATGGGCTGGCTGAGCCATGTCCCAGTTATTAAGATTAATCTCATCTTTAGATAAAAGAGATCCAATCCTGGCTTGATGCCCTGATCACTGTGTTTGTGCTTCATTCTCAAAATCTAGGCTCTACATTTTGTCTCCATAGTTTTGAGTAACTCAAAGGCTACAAGCTTACGTCACTCTTGCTCAGTGTCTTCCTAGGTCTTGTTCTCTAATATCACATGACTGGTCTTTATATTACCTATGAGACTTGCCTTACTATTTCCTTCTTTTAGATTTCCCAATTTTGTTCTCCAACTTTCTGTAGGGTTACCTGCTTATCCCTGGATTTGACACTGTCATTAAACTGAAAACCCCATTTGAGTAAGCATTCATCATAAAAATCCTGTCAGCTCTTCTCTTGGAAATCGTTCTTTGTCATAAATACTGTGGAAACACAGAGTGTTATAAATTTTATGAGAATAAATACAATATCTTTATTAATATATCAGCTTCTTTTTAAAATGATGTAGAAGAAAGTAAATGCAGCACTTAGAAAATGTAGATTGGCTTTCATTCACTATCTGACATTTTCCAGATCAGCATTTCAGTTTTAAAAAATATATAATGACAAATAATTACTTTCGTATTTCAATTCAGTTGTAACTAAAGGGTAATTTTAGAAAGAACAAATGGTAAGCATAAGCCAAAAAATGAACCAAAGGGTAATAAATAAACCAAACCCCTAAAATTCATTATCAAAAAGAGCTACAACATTTTCACATTCTCAGAAAAAAATGATTTTATAGAGATTATCTTTGAATTCAAGCACTTACAGTTTTATTTGAAAGTCACGGGGAGGAGCCAAGATGGCCGAATAGGAACAGCTCCGGTCTACAGCTCCCAGCCTGAGCGACGCAGAAGACGGGTGATTTCTTCATTTCCACCTGAGGTACCGGGTTCATCTCACTACGGAGTGCCAGACAGTGGGCGCAGGTCAGTGGGTGCGTGCACCGTGCGTGAGCCGAAGCAGGGCGAGGCATTGCCTCACTCAGGAAGCGCAAGGGGTCACGGAGTTCCCTTTCCTAGTCAAATAAAGGGGTGACGGACGCACCTGGAAAATCGGGTCACTCCCACCCAAATACTGCGCATTTCCCACGAGCTTAAAAAACGGCGCACCACGAGATTATATCCCACATCTGGCTGGGAATGGGGGGTCCTACACCCATGGAGTCTCGCTGATTGCTAGCACGGCGGTCTGAGATCAAACTGCAAGGCAGCAGCAAGGCTGGGGGAGGAGCACCCGCCATTGCCCAGGCTTGCTTAGGTAAACGAAGCAGCCGGGAAGCTCCAACTGGGTGGAGCCCACCACAGCTCAAGGAGGCCTGCCTGCCTCTGTAGGCTCCATCTCTGGGGGCAGGGCACAGACAAACAAAAAGACAGCAGTAACCTCTGCAGACTTAAATGTCCCTGTCTGACAGCTTTGAAGAGAGCAGTGGTTCTCCCAGCACCCAGCTGGAGATCTGAGAATGGGCTCACTGCCTCCTCAAGTGGGTCCCTGACCCCTGACCCCCAAGCAGCCTAACTGGGAGGCACCCCCCCAGCAGGGGCAGACTGACACCTCACACGGCCGGGTACTCCTCTGAGACAAAACTTCCAGAGGAACAATCAGACAGCAGCATTAGCGGTTCAGGAAAATTTGCGGTTCTGTAGACATCGCTGCTGATACCCAGGCAAACAGGTTCTGGAGTGGACCTCTAGCAAACTCCAACAGACCTGCAGCTGAGGGTCCTGTCTGTTAGAAGGAAAACTCACAAACAGAAAGGACATCCACACCAAAAACCCATCTGTACATCACCATCATCAAAGACCAAAAGTAAAACCACAAAGATGGGGAAAAAACAGAACAGAAAAACTGGAAACTTTAAAAAGCAGAGCGCCTCTCCTCCTCCAAAGGAACGCAGTTCCTCACCAGCAATGGAACAAAGCTGGACGGAGAATGACTTTGACGAGCTGAGAGAAGAAGGCTTCAGACGATCAAATTACTCTGAGCTACGGGAGGACATTCAAACCAAAGGCAAAGAAGTTAAAAACTTTGAAAAAAATTCAGAAGAATGTATAACTAGAATAACCAATACAGAGAAGTGCTTAAAGGAGCTGATAGAGCTGAAAATCAAGGCTCGAGAAATATGTGAAGAATGCAGAAGCCTCAGGAGCCGATGCGATCAACTGGAAGAAAGGGTATCAGCAATGGAAGATGAAATGAATGAAATGAAGTGAGAAGGGAAGTTTAGAGAAAAAAGAATAAAAAGAAACGAGCAAAGCCTCCAAGAAATATGGGACTATGTGAAAAGACCAAATTTACGACTGATTCGTGTACGTGAAAGTGACAGGGAGAATGGAACCAAGTTGGAAAACACTCTGCAGGATATTATCCAGGAGAACTTCCCCAATCTAGCAAGGCAGGCCAATGTTCAGATTCAGAAAATACAGAGAACGCCACAAAGATACTCCTCGAGAAGAGCAACTCCAAGACACAGAATTGTCAGATTCACCAAACTTGAAATGAAGGAAAAAATGTTAAGGGCAACAGAGAGAAAGGTTGGGTTACCCTCAAAGGGAAGCCCATCAGACTAACAGCAGATCTCTCGGCAGAAACCCTACAAGCCGGAAGACAGTGGGGGCCAATATTCAACATTCTTAAAGAAAAGAATTTTCAACCCAGAATTTCATATCCAGCCAAACTAAGCTTCATAAGTGAAGGAGAAATAAAATACTTTATAGACAAGCAAATGCTGAGAGATTTTGACACCACCAGGCCTGCCCTAAAAGAGCTCCTGAAGGAAGCGCTAAACATGGAAAGGAACAACCGGTACCAGCTGCTGCAAAATCATGCCAAAATGTAAAGACCATCGAGACTAGGAAGAAACTGCATCAACAAACGAGCAAAATAACCAGCTAAAATCATAATGACAGGATCAAATTCACACATAACAATATTAACTTTAAATGTAAATGGACTAAATGCTCCAATTAAAAGACACAGACTGGCAAATTGGATAAAGAGTCAAGACCCATCAGTGTGCTGTATTCAGGAAACCCATCTCACATGCAGAGACACACATAGGCTCAAAATAAAAGGATGGAGGAAGATCTACCAAGCAAATGGAAAACAAAAAAAGGCAGGGGTTGCAATCCTAGTCTCTGATAAAACAGACTTTAAACCAACAAAGATCAAAAGAGACAAAGAAGGCCATTACATAATGGTAAAGGGATCAATTCAACAAGAAGAGCTAACTATCCTAAATATATATGCACCCAATACAGGAGTACCCAGATTCATAAAGCAAGTCCTGAGTGACCTACAAAGAGACTTAGACTCCCACACAATAATAATGGGAGACTTTAACACCCCACTGTCAACATTAGACAGATCAACCAGACACAAAGTCAACCAGGATACCCAGGAATTGAACTCAGCTCTGCACCAAGCAGACCTAATAGACATCTACAGAACTCTCCACTCCAAATCAACAGAATATACATTTTTTTCAGCACCACACCACACCTATTCCAAAATTGACCACATACTTGGAAGTAAAGCTCTCCTCAGCAAATGTAAAAGAACAGAAATTAGAACAAACTGTCTCTCAGACCACAGTACAATCAAACTAGAACTCAGGATTAAGAATCTCACTCAAAACTGCTCAACTACATGGAAACTGAACAACCTGCTCCTGAATGACTACTGGGTACATAATGAAATGAAGACAGAAATAAAGATGTTCTTTGAAACCAATGAGAACAAAGACACAACATACCAGAATCTCTGGGACGCATTCAAAGCAGTGTGTAGAGGGAAATTTATAGCACTAAATGCCCACAAGAGAAAGCAGGAAACATCCAAAATTGACACCCTAGTATCACAATTAAAAGAACTAGAAAAGCAAGAGCAAACACATTCAAAAGCTAGCAGAAGGCAAGAAATAACTAAAATCAGAGCAGAACTGAAGGAAATAGAGACACAAAAAACCCTTCAAAAAATTAATGAATCCAGGAGCTGGTTTTTTGAAAGGATCAACAAAATTGATAGACCGCTAGCAAGACTAATAAAGGAAAAAAGAGAGAAGAATCAAATAGACGCAATAAAAAATGATAAAGGGGATATCACCACCGATCCCACAGAAATACAAACTACCATCAGAGAATACTACAAACACCTCTACACAAATAAACTAGAAAATCTAGAAGAAATAGATAAATTCCTCGACACATACACTCTCCCAAGACTAAACCAGGAAGAAGTTGAATCTCTGAATAGACCAATAACAGGATCTGAAATTGTGGCAATAATCAATAGCTTACCAAACAGAAAGAGTCCAGGACCAGATGGATTCACAGCCGAATTCTACCAGAGGTACAAGGAGGAACTGGTACCATTCCTTCTGAAACTATTCCAATCAATAGAAAAAGAGGGAATCCTCCCTAACTCATTTTATGAGGCCAGCATCATTCTGATACCAAAGCCGGGCAGAGACACAAGCAAAAAAGAGAATTTTAGACCAAAATCCTTGATGAACATTGATGCAAAAATCCTCACTAAAATACTGGCAAACCGAATCCAGCAGCACATCAAAAAGCTTATCCACCATGATCAAGTGGGCTTCATCCCTGGGATGCAAGGCTGTTTCAATATATGCAAATCAATAAATGTAATCCAGCATATAAACAGAGCCAAAGACAAAAACCACATGTTTATCTCAATAGATGCAGAAAAGGCCTTTGACAAAATTCAACAATGCTTCATGCTAAAAACTCTCAATAAATTAGTTATTGATGGGACATATTTCAAAATAATAAGAGCTATCTATGACAAACCCACAGCCAATATCATAAAGAATGGGCAAAAACTGGAAGCATTCCCTTTGAAAACGGGCACAAGACATGGATGCCCTCTCTCACCATTCCTATTCAACATAGTGTTGGAAGTTCTGGCCAGGGCAATTAGGCAGGAGAAGGAAATAAAGGGTATTCAATTATGAAAAGAGGAAATCAAATTGTCCCTGTTTGCAGATGACATGATTGTATATCTAGAAAACCCCATTGTCTCAGCCCAAAATCTCCTTAAGCTGATAAGCAACTTCAGCAAAGTCTCAGAATATAAAATCAATGTACCAAAATCACAAGCATTCTTATACACCAACAACAGACAAACAGAGAGCCAAATCATGAGTGAATTCCCATTCACAATTGTTTCAAAGAGAATAAAATACCTAGGAATCCAACTTACAAGGGATGTGAAGGACCTCTTCAAGGAGAACTACAAACCACTGATCAAGGAAATAAAAGAGAATACAAACAAATGGAAGAACATTCCATGCTCATGGGTAGGAAGAATCAATATCGTGAAAATGGCCATACTGCCCAAGGTAATTTACAGATTCAATGCCATCCCCATCAAGCTACCAATGACTTTCTTCACAGAATTGGAAAAAACTACTTTAAAGTTCATATGGAACCAAAATAGAGCCCACATCACCAAGTCAATCCTAAGCCAAAAGAACAAAGCTGGAGGCATCACACTACCTGACTTCAAACTATACTACAAGGCTACAGTAACCAAAACAGCATGGTACTGGTACCAAAACAGAGATATAGATCAATGGAACAGAACAGAGCCCTCAGAAATAACGCCGCATATCTACAACTATCTGATCTTTGACAAACCTGAAAAAAACAAGCAATGGGGAAAGGATTCCCTATTTAATAAATGGTGCTGGGAAAACTGGCTAGCCATATGTAGAAAGCTGAACTGGATCCCTTCCTTACACCGTATACAAAAATCAATTCAAGATGGATTAAAGACTTAAACGTTAGACCTAAAACCATAAAAACCCTAGAAGAAAACCTAGGCATTACCATTCAGGACATAGGCATGGGCAAGGACTTCATGTCTAAAACACCAAAAGCAACGGCAACAAAAGCCAAAGTTGACAAATGGGATCTAATTAAACTAAAGAGCTTCTGCACAGCAAAAGAAACTACCATCAGAGTGAACAGACAACCTACAAAATGGGAGAAAATTTTCGCAACCTACTCATCTGACAAAGGGCTAATATCCAGAATCTACGATGAACTCAAACAAATTTACAAGAAGAAAACAAACAACCCCATCAAAAAGTGGGCAAAGGACATGAACAGACACTTCTCAAAAGAAGACATTTATGCAGCCAAAAAACACATGAAGAAATGCTCATCTTCACTGGCCATCAGAGAAATGCAAATCAAAACCACAATGAGATACCATCTCACACCAGTTAGAATGGCAATCATTAAAAAGTCAGGAAACAACAGGTGCTGGAGAGGATGTGGAGAAATAGGAACACTTTTACACTGTTGGTGGGACTGTAAACTAGTTCAACCATTGTGGAAGTCAGTGTGGCGATTCCTCAGGGATCTAGAACTAGAAATACCATTTGACCCAGCCATCCCATTACTGGGTATATACCCAAAGGACTATAAATCATGCTGCTATAAAGACACATGCACACGTATGTTTATTGCGGCATTGTTCACAATAGCAAAGACTTGGAACCAACCCAAATGTCCAACAATGATAGACTGGATTAAGAAAATGTGGCACATATACACCATGGAATACTATGCAGCCATAAAATATGATGAGTTCATGTCCTTTGTAGGGACATGGATGAAATTGGAAATCATCATTCTCTGTAAACTATCGCAAGAACAAAAAACCAAACACCGCATATTCTCACTCATAGGTGGGAGCTGAACAATGAGAACACATGGACACAGGAAGAGGAACATCGCACTCTGGGGACTGTTGTGGGGTGGGGGGAGTGGGGAGGGAGAGCATTGGGAGATATACCTAATGCTAGATGACGAGTTAGTGGGTGCAGCGCACCAGCATGGCACATGCATACATATGTAACTAACCTGCACAATGTGCACATGTACCCTAAAACTTAAAGTATAATAGTAATAAAAAAAAAGAAAATTAAAAAAAAAAAGAAATTCACAAATAGCTTGTTTAAAGCAATTGACTATTTTCAGTGTTGTGACTGCTCTGCTTTGGTGTATATAAACATTAAAAAAAGACTTCAGAATTTTTTATTTTCTATTTATAGAGACAAAGAGGAATCATTATTAGTTTTTTTGCCATGTCATATTAATAATCAGTGTTTATAGGCCAAACTAAACATAATCGAAAATCACATTTCTTTAAAGAGTCCTTATTATAGAGATAAAGCATCTTCTCTTAAATGTTGTTATATTTTCCATTTCTAAGAAGTAGTTTAGGTGAAATGAAATGGAGACCCATGAAGTAGATAAATGAGACTGATTAAGAGAATAAGCCAGTTATTTAATCCCAGGAATAAGAAGTAATGTCTAAGCAGGAATTCATGAATAATAAAAGTTTCAGGGAAAGCACTTTACATGCCTGAGTTTATGACTGTGTTATTTTAAACACTGTCAGAGTCCATTCAGCTGGAGTGTAATATTTTGTGTATCAGCACTCCTATTTTAGGATGTACTATAATTTAGAGATAGTGAGTAGTGATCCCTACATAACAGGACTACTATTTCCTTTGCCATAATAGCAGTTTGTTTATGATAAAATTTATTTTCATCTAGTCATAGCATATATGATGCTTTCATTTTCATTCATTTCATTGGAGATTATAGCCTTAGGTGACAGAGTTATTTTATTTTTCTTCAGAGTCCATTAAGTCATAAAAGTCTGCAGACTACTCCTAGACTTGTGCTCTACTTTACTATAAAACAACAAATAAACTGGAACTGTTACAATATGTTCATAACGTTAACATGTTGCTAGCCATAGGAGTTCATATCTTAGTTACATTTTCTCGGGAAATTTGAAACCTCTAAAGCTAAAAAAAAAATATATATATATATATATATATATATATATATGTATATGTATACACACACACAATAAAGTACACTTTAAAAAGCAAAAAAAAATTTCTTTATAAGATTTAATGTAACTACATTTTTTATTTGATTTGTTTTGATTTGTTTTTGCATCAAAGATGATGCAAAGAGTTAACTGGAACTTTTAGTTAACTTTCTAACTAATAGAGTTAACTGGAATTCTTCTCTAGTTTTTTTTTTTTTTTTTTTTTTTTTTTTTGAGACGGAGTCTGGCTCTGTCGCCCAGGCTGGAGTGCAGTGGCATGATCTCGGCTCACTGCAAGCTCCGCCTCCCGGGTTCACGCCATTCTCCTGCCTCAGCCTCCGGAGTAGCTGGGACTACAGGCGCCCGCCACCGCGCCCGGCTAATTTTTTGTATTTTTTAGTAGAGACGGGGTTTCACCTTGTTAGCCAGGATGGTCTCGATCTCCTGACCTCATGATCCACCCGCCTCGGCCTCCCAAAGTGCTGGGATTACAGGCGTGAGCCACCGCGCCCGGCCTCTTCTCTAGTTTTTTTCTTACTTGTTGAACACTGTGTTGCTTTGATTGTGAAAATCAGAAAGCCTAGCCTGTGGATGAACAAAAAGAAGCAAAAATACAAAGTATAAGTTATTTTATAGTTTTTTAGTCCATAGTAGAAAAATAAAGTTGCTTTTCTTTTATTAAAATATACAACATTTCAGCAGTATCCACTCAGCCATGTTTCTGAGTTTTGGGTTGTTGTTGTTGTTTTGTTTTGTTTTAAGAAGCATCTGTGTGATGAGTAACAATTTTACTGTCACTTATTCCAGACATTAGTTAGTTACGAGGCTTGGCTTTTTCACTGACAAGGTTAGGTGTCCAACCCTATTCCCCGTAGCCCCTCCAAGCTCACAACATGGCCCCACTGAAAGCCCTAATGAATTATTGCCTCTTTCCAATAAGCTGGATGCTAGCTCTAAGAAGTACTTAATGACATTCACAATTTAAAACCTTACCTAAAAATCTGTTTATGGAAGAATTAGCTTAATTAACGAGTTTGCAATGAAGTCAGTCTTAATGACGTTCTGAGAAAGACACTAAAGGTGAAAAGGAAACAAGCAGAACAAACAACCCTTTGAGCTTTTCAGGTCAGTAGTTACACTAACAATTGTCACAACTTCCCCTGAAAGGGATGGTACTTGAAGTGAGAATCAAAAAGGAAAATGTGTGATTGATCACCTCTAAGACTTTCCTCTGCTTTTCTGAAGAGCTAGGCCATAAAGTCACAAAGGGAGCAGCTTACTAGGTTGTAAAGCCTCTTGATATTTTTTAAGGCGCCTGTATTAGTTTTCTATTGCTACCATAATAATTTGCTACATACTTGGAGGCTTAAAACAACACCTATTTTTCATCTCACAGGGTCTATAGTTCAGAAGTTCAGCTAGACTAGACTAGGTTCTCTGCTCAGGGTGTCATAAGGTTGAAATCAAGGTGTTGGAAAGTCTGTGCTCCTTTATTGCAAGTTTTGGGGAAGAGCCTTCTTCCAAGCTCATTCAGGTTGTTGGCAGAATCCAGTTTCTTACAGTTGTAGGACTGAGGCTCCTGCTCCCTTGATGGCTGTCATCTGAGATCTCCTTTCAGCTCCTAATGGATAGCCACATTTCTTCTCACATGGCCCCCTCCATCTTCAGAGCCTGCAAAGGTGTGTTGAATCACCCTTGTTCTTTGGATTTCTCTCTTTCTCTTCTGTGACCAGCAGGAGAAAACTCTCTGCTTTTAAAGGGGTCATGTGATAAGGCCTGTCTCACTTAGATCATATGTGTATTTTATAGTCCACTGATTTGGACATTGATTACATTAGGAAAATCCCTTCATGATTGTATCTAGATCGGTGTTTGATTAAATAAACCAGGCACAGAAATCTTGGGAAGTTTTGGGGAGGAGAGGACATATTTAAAATTCTGCATGCCATAGCACCTCTTCCTTTAAGAGAAAAAATCTTCAGGATGGACAACTTGGATTTAAGCCTCTGTCTGTCCCACTTGTTAGTCCTTTGTGCTGTGAACAGTTGTACAACCCTACGTAGCAGCCCTGAGCTATAGCTTCTAGGGGTCATGAAGCATTGCCTTTACGCTTTGACTTCTTTCTCTTCTTAGAACCTTCCCTGTCCTGCTCAATCCTATTTATTAAACAGATCCTATCCTCATAACTGACCTCCTCACCTTCATCCAAACTCTAGTATTTATTTACCAGTATTTGACATTTTTAATGTGCATTTGATAATAATTTGTACATAACAGTTGCTGTGGAATACATCTTCTATGGCTAACTTATTTCTGCCATTGGAGTCATGTTTTCCCCCATGAAGTGTGCCATTCAAATGGACCTTCTTCAATAATTCAAGAAATTCAATAATTTCTTATTTTATTTTCAACTAAATGAAAACTGTAAGTTCGTGAGAGTAGCTTATATTTTTTCTTCATTTTTACTGCCAAAAATATGGTTGCTAAATCCCAATATAGACAAAGGTCAATTAAAGACTATGTAATTGTGCTACTAATGTTATTACTGACGATATGTTAAATCACATTTACTTTTGCATGTGTGTTTTGGAAAGAAGCTTTACAGTTGAGAAAGCCATAAGGGTAGAAATAGAATACACACAGAAAAGTATGAAAAAATGCTTCTAATAGATCTGATAGAGATTTAGAAAAACAATTGTTTAAATTAGCACAATCCTTAGGGCTGAATTGGCTGGGATCTAGAAAGAACATTACTCACCTTTCAAGGGTGTTAAACTTCTAATGGACTGAGACCTCATCCAGAAAACATGGGAATTTATGCTTTCTCCTGGACAGAAAAGCATGTATCAACTTCTTCAGTTGCAAAGTCTCACAGTAATTGACCAGGAAAACTACAATTTCTATACAAATGCTAGATGACCATAATCCCTCCTCACGCAAGTAACATTCCTTTCTCATGTATGGACATTGCAATTCATAAAAGGGCTTATCACACACATCTCAGAGGATATATAACTACATTGCAGCAAGGTCTTTGGCATTCTAAGATAGAGGACCTAGGTTATTAAAAGCACAGATACAGAACACTGGCAGGAATGTGTGTTTTCACAAAAGAGTGTGTGTTTTCACTGAATAGCATATATTGCAAATTGATACAGTGCAGTTTGGTAGAAAAGACACTAATTTGAATTTAGGATATGTGGATTTTAATTCAAGCCCTGTCTCCAAATATAAGCTCCTTTATTTAGCTTGAATCTCAGTTCCATCAGTTAAATGGGAATGCAGGTCTAGATGTTTTTTTTAAGGTCTCAGTGGGTTGAGAACCTATGGTGACAGCTAACCGGGGTTTTAGTATATGTGCCACATCTCTGTAAATGTTCACTTCCTAGGCAAGCTATTATTACAAAAAGCTATGCTCCAGGATAAACTTCTGGGAGTCAAGAAAACTTAGTTGTCATTCTGATTCTACCATGAATGTGGTATAACTGTGGTGGCTTTGTCTCTTTCAATCTCATCTCCTCATCTCTAAAATTGGACTAAGGCTTTCTATAGCCACTTAATAGTGTTATTTTTTTGAGAATCAAATCAAATAACAGATATGAACCTGCTTTGAAACCTTTAAAATCATATATAAATGTAAGGGATAATAAATATATCCTAGCAAGTTTCTTTGATAAATAATTTATTCTGCCACTCAGTTAATAGATGTTTTCATGAATAAGTTTTTAAATGAACTGAGCCTCAATTTTATTATCTGTGAAATGAGGAAGATGACCTAGATCAGTGATTTTCTTAAGAGCATTTTATATTTTTTAGCAGCAGAACTCTGATTTCACACAAAGTATCAAGTGGAATCTTACATATATGTCAGTCAAAAAACAAAGCAATTCTAACTGAGTATGACCCAGAGCCTTGCCTTCCAAGCTTCCTTCTCTTTGCACTCCATACCATAACTTCTCATGCATTTCTATAAAATCCTGCAACTCTGAGGGGTTCTGAGTGAAAACAGATGGACCAGATAATCCTTAATCTGTCTTCCAGTTTCAAATATCTGTTTAAAATTATGACAACTGAAGAGAGCTAGTCACTGGTTTTTATATAGAATATTTTGGTTCTAAGAAATGAATAGGAAGTAATTTAACTTCTTTAGTAACTTTTTCTTCATTCATTTACCCTTTGATTTCTGTACCTTAACAGACCATGATGTCTTCTCAATTATGAAATGAAGCTTGTTGTCATAAAATATACTTACTATTTCTAATTCATTAGATAACAAAGCAGAAAAATCAATTTTTTCATTTAAACCATCATTCTAAAACAACTACTTTTAGTGCTCCATCACAAGAAGTAGTTATTACCAGCTACAAAAATGACTGTGAAATTTATATAGTAAAACTGACAAATTCCACAACACTTGCCAAGAAAACTCAATACCCTACTGATATTAGTAAATGCATAGAAAGTCCCAGACCCATTAGGCTGTCCCATTTCAGAACATGACATTTTATTTCTTCCCAAGTGATGAAAACTAAATTTGCAACCTGAAAATTGTATAGCTTTGTGGTGCTTTTCTAAAAAACATATTGAAAATAGTTGGTTATAAGTGAGCTAAAAATGGGTAGTGCCACTATTCAAACAAAGTATGTAATTATTGAATAAGTACTTCCTTTACATCCAATACACATACCTCAGGAGTTCAGAATGCCACTTAAAAGAAGATGTGCATTTGTCTTAAATTTACAACAAAGTTTACCACAGAAGCCAACATTTACAGCTACTAGGGATATTCTGCTATCCAATTAGAAACATAATTTTATAACTAATTGAAGGAGTGCATATATATATGTATATATATATATAGTTAATTTTAGAAAAATATATGTCTCATGGGTTTTTTAAAAATGACAATTTAGTGCTATAAATTCCTTCATGATTTTTCAAAAATGACTTTGGTTTAGAGAATGAAATTATAAATGTTATTGATCTATTAAGCATATTATTTCCTGAAGAGAGTTTAATAAAAAATACTAAAAATAAGTGTTTTACTTTTTAAACCAAAAATAAAATTCTAAGACCCACAACCGACTGATGGATCTCCCCCTCAGCCAAGGACATTCCAAAGTTAACCTGAAAAACTAGTTCGGGCCATAATGGGAAGTGGCAGTCAGACCTACCTCAAAATCCCCTTCTCCCCTTGGTATTTAGGCACAGCTGACCAGCATTAATATTAAAACAGAGACCTTAAGACTGATAGAATAGCCTCTTTAAGTTTATAAGAAACATTCCCTTCTATTCATTCGATTTGCATAATGTGAACCTTGGTCTCCACAACTCCTTAACAAAGACATTCCCTTCTATTGATTCTAGGTCTTTATACGATAACTTAACTCTTTCAACCAATTGCCAGTTAGAAAATTCTTGAGTCCACCTATGACCTGGAAGCCCCTGCTTCAAGTTGTCCCACCTTTCCAGACCAAACCAGTGGACACTTTACATGTGTTGATTGATGTCTTATGTCTCCCTAAAATATATAAAACCAAGCTGTAGCCAGACTGCCTTGAGCACATGTTCTCAGAATCTCCTAGGGGTGTGTCAAGGCCATTGGTCACTCATATTCGGCTTAGAATAAATCTTTTCAAATATTTTACAGGGTTGGACTTCTTTTGTTGACAACTGTTAATATATCCTGTGCTGAAACTATTTTAATCCTTAACCAAAATAAACTCTAATTTAAATATGTGGCTTTAGTGTTCATGGTTGACTGTTATCAGGAAAATTGATAAGCCTGACTATAATCACCTGACATGTCAATAATCTCTAAAGTGAAATTGGTCTATGAGATCACTGAGGTAATGTGCTGAACTACATACATTGGAATATAGGTTAGTTCTTTCTCATGCCTGTGAAAAAGTTAATCTCTTAAAGAAACAAATGCAAAAGAAATCTAACAAAGAAATTATGACACAGCAAAATGCGTTTCACATATACTGTGATTAACATCTGAAGGAGATCAGAATATGCTACCCCAAAATATGCCACTTTGGCTAAAGATTATTTTAACCTGAAGGCAATTGAGAACATCAGGCACAGGATGAGCTCTCTGCCCTCCCCCATCTGATGTCATACATTACACTTTCGTAAAGGAAATTTCCACTTGTAATGAAATTTCCATGTGTAAAGTTGTCTTCCTCACCCATAACAGAAAGAGGGGAATGATTCTTGTCATTGGAGATGGCACCAAGATGAGTGTGCATAATCAACCCCTATCCACCGTTATTTCCCCCATATATTTCCTAGTCACCGTCCCACAATTTACTCCATAGAATCTCAAACTACTTTCCTTTGTCTAGTCACTTCTGAATAATTTATCACTCTTTGTTAAAATGGCATATAATCCCCTTGGTCTAAAGGCCCCTTAGAGTTTTTTATTTCTGTGAAGCTCCAGTGCATGTAAAAATATTAAAACCAAGAAGGTTTGTATGCCTTTTCTTTTGATAATCTGTCTTTTCTCAGTTTAATTCACAGGTCTCTAGATCCAAAATCTGAGAAGGTAGAAGAAAATATTTTTTTTCCCTCCCTTACACATCTACAGTCACTTTACAAACCAACCAATGTATCTGTCTTCTTAGTGGTGCAACTTGGCAACTAAATAATATGAGACAACATAACACAGAGGTTTGAAAGACAAAGTGAAAGAAAACTACATATATAATGTTATAAAGGGTATTTTAATTAGACAGAATGTAAATTAGCAGAAATTGGACTTGGACCAAATAACTGAGGTTGCTCTTCCTGTATTCATGGACATTTTGATACACAATAAAGATACTCTAGTCCAAGTGCCTAGAATTTTAAAAATAGCTACATAAATTTATTAATTTGATTTTAACCATTTAAAATACTATATCATTTCAGACATTAAAATGTAAAAATGTAAAATTTAGAGACATGAAGTAACTGTAAACAAGATTGGGCCTCAATTTTTCTCTTGTGATACTTCTACAATATACAAGTAATTTTCATCTATTCTTTTATGTTTTCTCAGTAGGAATATATATGCCTTACAAGTCACCATCTCTTGAAATGGGTTTAACAGTACAATAATAGGTGTTACTGTTAAAAAGCAAAGAAAAAAGACAGACATGGGAAATTCTGGGTTAGAAAATGTTACATATATTTTTTTGCTGTAATACATCTCAGAGTCTTTAAGGCTAATATTAACTACGAATCCAGGGAACATGCATTAGAAAACACCATTTTAAGTAAATGGATCACTTAGCTAATAAGTATTTGGCAAGGGTTATATGGCTGTCCGAATGAATCTTTAGATAGCTTAATAAGCAAATTCATGGATGTGCTTCAGTCCTCTTGCAATAGGTATTAGGATCACCAAAATGACCCAAATAAATTAATTGCCCAATTTAGATTTGGTGATCCCCCAATACTAGATTTGGTGATCCCCCAATACTAGATTTGGTGGTTTTACATTGGCTTGGTCTCCAATTCAGCACCATATGTTTCAGAAGGGATGTATTAAATTTCTTAAATTATCTTTTGTGTGTGAACAGGAATACTTAGTGTCTTAGTAATATCCAGCATTTCTAATCCTTATCTTCCTTTTTTTTTGAGTCCCTCATCACCTTTTAGGTTTATCATTACTATCAATACTTTACCAGTAGACTACTGACTGCTAATTTATGACATTCTCTGCATTTATGAACAAGTATCATGAGGAAAGGAAAGAAATACAATTCTTGCTCCCTAATGTCATTGTGATTTCAGGAAGTGTTAGAACATTTTTGTCAAACTTGCTTAATAGTCTTTAACAAGCTGAGTTAAAGAACTTTATTCTTTCAAACTTAGGATTTGTCATTATTTTGAGATTCATTAGTTTAATTAGTTAGAGCATTGTGCTAATGAGCCCAAGCACATGAATTTGAGTCACATAGGCTAGTTAATTTTGTACAGAAAAAATATTTTCTCTCCCCCCATACTAGGCCCTTTGCCATTAACTAAGCCTCTAATGAATATCTACGTTTTGATCATAAAGGAAACTCATCACCACTGCTTAAAAAATAAAATAAAAAGGAACAGGCAGGATCATATACATATGCAGGCAGTGCAGTTATTCATCATTATTCACTAATGGATCTTTGGCCATACCTCTATTACCAGAAAGGGGTCCAGATCCAGGCCCCAAAATAGGGTTCTTGGACCTCACACAAGAAAGAATTCAGGGTGAGTCCATGGAATAAAGTGAAAGCAAGTCTATTAAGAAAGTAAAGAAAGTAAGAATCACTACTCCAGAGCCAGAGCAGTGGCATGGACTGTGTATACTTATAGTTACTTCTTGATTATATGCTAAACACGGGGTGGATTATTCATGAGTTTTCCAGGCAATGGATGGGGATTTCCCCAGAACTGAGGGCTCCTCCCCTTTTTAGACTATATAGGGTAGCTTCTGGATGTTGCCATGGCATTTGTAAACAGTCGTGGCACTGGTGGGAGTGTCTTTTTGCATGCTAACACATTATAATTATCATATAATGAGCAGTGAGGATGACCAGAAATCACTTTCATTGCCATCTTGGTTTTGTTGGAAGCTGGCTGGCTTCTTTACTGCATCCTGTTTTATCTGCAGGGTCTTTGTGACCCATAATTTGTGCTGATCTCCTATCTCATCCTGTGACTAAGAATACCTAACCTCCTGAGAATTCAGCCCAGTAGGTTTCAGCCTTATTTTCCCCAGCCCCTATGCAAGATGGATTTGGTCTGGTTCAAATGCCTCTGACACCTCTAAACACACACCTGCTTTACTTAAGGAAACTGATCCAAGAAGAAAATTCAAGATTTGATGACATTTTAATTAACAAGTGCTTCATTTTAACTAATAAATTTCAAGTTGCTTATTCTCTTATACAACTATGAACATGTTTTAAATTGAAAAATACTATGTGCAGTATTGTAGCAAACATAAAAACAATTAAGAGATTCAGGGGATGTGAATCTAGACTTGCTGAAGTTTAATTACACTGTATTTTCATAAAGGAATCCCATTCACTTTAATTTTGTTTCTAAATTATGATGTCCTTTTCTTTTCAGAGCACATTGTAAATAACAGCATAGAACATCAGTTGGAATAGAGAAAACTGCAATTTCTTCCTATCTCTTGTCATTTAAAAATAACAAAAATGACAACTTGTCTGAAGAAAAGTTTTTAAATTTGACTAATGTTCCTTTGTGTGAAATATAATATACTTAGCAGTTCAAAGTGGAAAAAACTAATCCAAGAGAGGATCATCATCATAGAACTCAAAAGAATGATGGATTTGATAGTTTTCTATTTTATGTTCAATATAAAATTCCATTTTATTTGATTCATCAGGAATCCCATATATCCTTTAAATATGACAGATGATTATCTGAGAATAAAAATGTCTATGACCAAAAGTCCAAAACTCGAACAAATTCACTAATCTCTAAGTTGATAAAGGCCAGTCCTAGTTTACAGAGCTACATATGGTTATTGCATGCTTTCTGTAAATGAAAGAACTATAATCTCGTCCACAAGCGTATGGAGGTTTCTATTTTCCCTTTAGTCACTGATGTAGCCAAGAATCATACTACAGAAAACTACAGAAACTATTAAATTTTTTTCAGAATTAAAATCTGAAGTTATTTTGTAGGTCCAAATTAATCTACTCATAAAGGTACAAACTTATAACTTAAGTTCCAGTTTTTTAAATTTTGTATTTCCTCTGGAAGAATAAAAGACAGGTCTTTTGATATGGATAAATAGGGATGAATCCTAGTTTTTGGAATCTGAAACTTACACGTTAACTCTCTTTAAAAAAAAGAATACAAAATTACCATACAAAATTTTGTATAACCAGAATATTTATTTATAAAGAGAGGTTACGACAAATGCCAAATTTATAGAAGCTGACAAATATCACAAACATTATAGAATCCAAGAAAATTATATACTTTTAATAATAAGCTGCTTGACACATCTCTGTAATATTTTTCTTTTCCCATTTCAAGAACACCCATGGATGCCTGAAACTGTAAAGACTACCAAACCCTGTATGTATTACGTTTTTTCCTATACATAAATATCTGTGATACTTTTTCCCAACATTTTTGGGTGCCTATCATTGGATTGCCTCTTCACATGAAAATAATTTTGTAATATCAGGCCTCAAAAGAGGCCAGTGTAAGTGAAGGACCCTCAATCTTAAACTTCCTTAGCTCCATGGTAAATCTGCCTCTATTTGTATCAGTTATTCAATCAATGTGTGGCTGTTCATAAGATATAAAATAAGAACAACACCCTGTTGCAAAATATTCATCACTATATATCTATATCAATATCTGTATCCATATCTATAAACATAGATGTGTATAAAAAAGATTGTGAATTATAAATTTTGGACCGTATTTCAGGGTGCAATATATCCTCAGAGAGATTCAAATTGTGTGGTGGGAGTGAGAGGTAATATTTATTTTATGCAAATAAATTGAGGTTACCAATCCCTTTTACCTGCCTACTTCAATTAAATAGTGAAAGGGATAGTGACTTATACAATGCTGGGGTTGTACTTATCATTATATAACTCACTACCTAGAACTAAAAACCAAACATGAAGTAGAAAGTCTATTTAATGAATTAATGTGGCTTAAAAGTGCCTGGGATGTAGAGTTCTTCAATAAGTATTTGTTTATGAATGAATAGATGAACTAACAAATGAGTGAATGGATAATACAGCTATATCCACCTCCCTTTTCTTTTGCCTCATTTTACCTCAATGACTGCTTTCGCTGCCTAATGAAGTCTAATTTTTTGAGTGCTAAATTACATTGAAATATTTTTATCGGGTACTTCATGGCAGTTTTTATGTTATCTCATTTATGTTTCTAATAACAATTCTCAAGGTAATTTCATTTCTCAATACATAGTTACTGAAATTGAAAGAATTTGAGTAACTTATCCAATGTTCTACAGCTAGAATGTCAAAGAATCACAAGTTGAATCGAGGCTTTCTAGATTCTTAGGTAATATACATCATAGCCTTTTATTTTTCCTACATGCCATGCCGTAAAAATATAGCCAAAACAAAAGGAGCTTATTAAGTTAAAATTGTGTTACATGCATCACAAGTTCTAGGCAAAAAATGTAATATATTATGTCAAAAATAGTTACAATGGGAAGTCCTTGTGTCTGTGTCACAATGTACAGATTTATTCTTTTTATTTCCTTTCATTTTCATATCCATAAATTGCTCTTCGTAGTCTCAGTTTTGAAACTGGGTCTGGTCTGGATTGAGCAGTAGCACGTCAAGGGATCAAATGAATGTTGATGGAAATAGCTATATGCAGAGTGATCAACATCATGATAGGCTGACAGGTTTGAAGAGCCAAGCACTTTTACAACTGTCAAGCAGTATTTTTCATACTACCTCAAAAAGATTCTCTGGTTGAATAAACTTTTAATATCCCCCTGCTGGAGAGTCACAACACATATTTACGTATTAAAGAAACACAGGAAATCCTCCGTATAAACCTGCACCACGCCTACCTCCCCCAACTCCAATTTGTTCCTTTGCTGCCCCCTAGAGGGCCTTGGCCAGAGTGCACACGCCATCACTGCCTTCTCTCCTAGTTTCTCTTTCTATTGCAGACTACGCTGCCTAAACTCGGGTCTCAAAGTAAACAGGGAGCTCAAAGTAAACAGGGTTTGAACACCAATTTGTGGTCTTTACATCATTTGCTAACTGCTAACACCCTTCTCTTCCTTGGAGAGTTTTCAGAAAGGAAATCATTATGAAGGGAGTAGGTGACTTCAATTCCTTTCTTCCCTATCATCTTCACTTCCACATCAGTCTCCAGATGAGCATTTTACCCGGCTGGAGTACATGCAGAAAAGTTGAAAGAGATGTAGCATGGTATAAATTTGAAAAGTTACGGTAGTGAACTTGAAGGAAAAATAAAAGAAAAATAATTTAAAAAGAAAAAAGTATCTCTACTGACTCCCCTCCTCAGGACCCTGAGTTTGCCTATCCCTTATGTCCCACCCTCCTCCTCCTTCTCCTCTTCTCTGAGACCTAATCCACTTGGGGATAACAGACTATTTTCCAGTTATCTATGATTTATCTAAATCTAGTTTTTGGATCTAAATCTGGTTTTGGAAGTGTGGGTGTTAAGTAATTCAGTCACACTATTCAAGAATAACAAATGTCATTGGAAGGCATCATTACTTATTTTGATAAACAGAAAAAGTCTTACCAACACAGCCTACCCACTTCAGCATCTTCCATAGAATAAATGATCCAAGGATATAAAACATAAAATGAGAAGCTAGAGTCATAAGTAATCTTATTTGTAGGACAGTGCTAAGCAGTTTGTCCTTTTGGGATCATGACCCTCAGCGAAGCAGGTAATATTTCCTTGACACTGAGCTGAGAGCACCACAGAAAGGGACTGGTGGAAACCAAGCAGGGTGCCAATGCTCCAACTATCAGAGCCTGAGCACTAGTAATAGCAACGGGTACTACAGTGTCCCCAGATAACTGAGTTAGACGACTAATTGTATGAACTAGAACACTAGGTTTGGACTTGGAGTAAAACGCAGATCTGGTCGATCCACTACAAGAACACTGAACAGTGGGTCTGAAAAAATATCGAATTCAAAAATCCATCAGTTGACAAAGTGAAGGTTTCTGAAGGATTCTTTATTATGACAGGATTAAGTTCAGCCTGAAGGAGAGACTAGTGCGTCTGGCTCCAGCAACAGGGCTAGAGAAGGTGGAGGCTAATAATAACAACATTCACAGAGTTGGGGAATCTAGGTCCAGTATTTTATTTTCATTGCCAATTTTTCATTCAATTTTTTTTCTTTAAAAGGAAAACCATTCTGTGCTCCAAACCCTTTCCCTTCACATTCTAGCCTGACAAAAAAGATAACCAGGATAGAATCAATAGTGTGCCAAACTGCCTTTGTGGTTTCACTTCATTTAGAAGTTACTCAAGAAAGGACAATTACATTTAAAATTCAAGACATCTTTTTATTATATGAAAGTACAATGATTCACCATTTTCTACCCTATGTGAAAGAAAATATAAAAGGAATAGTTGAGACCAGCTGCATTTTTGCAATTGAGAATAATCCTGGATTTGGATATTTTATTTAAAGGCAGAAACTGACATCCAGCTAAGTTTTAGTAATGAAAAAATAAAAATTGTCAGCTAAGTTTTAGTAATGATGAAATAAAAATTGTTCAATCTCAAAGGGAAAACAAAAATCCTATGCTGATTCTCTAGACATATGTGTAATCATTTAAAATGGTATGTCTGCAGTAGTCCAGCCAATTAAAAATGGCTCAAAATAGCCACTCATTAAATACTTTGTTGACTATACCATAGGCATTGATTTTAAAAGGAAAAAAAGAGCAGTTTTCCTATACGTTTCAATGAAATACACAGTATATTTGTTATCACATATCAGAAAATATAACTGATTTTAAAAGCATACAAAAGTTAAATCTACTTAGTTCACAGTCATATAATAGAAATAAAGAGGCTTAAAAAGTAAAGGCGGCTCAGAGTAGTGTGGGATTAGTCCAGGATTCTTGAAAAATGTGTATTTGTATCAATCTCAATATATTGCTTTGGAAACATTATGTGGTTGGTTGCATATGTGTGTGCATTTCCTAAATTTAAAACAGTAGCTGATACCTATGTCCTGAAGAGATGGCCACATAGAAATCTTGATGGAATAGGAAAATTCATTCTCATTGTTAATGAAAAAAAAAAAGGATTCTGCTTTTCTCAACGAACAAAACTGTTGGAATCCTTCACCTCACCACACAACATCTGGATAACTTAAGGCAAAACCTGTCCTAAAGAAACAAGAAAGATAGAGACTGTTAATAGCATTCTAATCATTCTACTCTTTAAAAAACAATAATTTTCCCCATTCACGTGCTGCCATCACAACACAGGCCAGTAGCACACAGATGAAAATCCTCATCTGGTACAGTTTGCAGCTATTCATTTGCAGAAAAATAAGAGTAAAGTAGGAGAAATTAATTCTTCAGGGGAAAAGAGCAACCTTGAGAACAACCCCACATTTACAATCATTTATAATTTATAATCATTTATAATCAGCGCTCAGTGCTTCAGCAAAGTTCAGCTATAAACATAAGGCTGTAATTGTCAGGTTCTTGTGAAAGAAATTCAGCTACAGCTTTTATCCACTGCAATTGTGGAGCTGTTCAAGCCTACTGGAAAAAAAAAACATCTTCTATATGACCTGACTACCAAACAGTTGTCACACCCCTATTAATTACAGAGGTCGTTGAAGTAGTTAAGAATTCTTATCAAAATCTTTCCTCTATAGAAAGCCCTTCTTTTCTTCCCCTCCTTGGAATTTCAGTAAAGCATTTCTCAGAGCAGGGAACGAGTTCAAACTTTTCCCAATTATTGGCCCAAACATTATAGTACACTTCTGATATATATATTTTTTATTTTGATGGTGTTGTAAGGCCAGTCCCAGGTCTACAGAACAAAAAAAGAAAAACCAAAAAATCCTTGCAAGTCATATACAGGAGGGAATGGAGAAATGTTACTTTCATTTCACAGATACGCCCTTTTCAAATATTCTTATACATTATAGTGGTGGAGAGGGGGAAGTGTGTTGAAAGATTTCATTCATCTATGTTTTCAGTAATAGTACCCTCTAGTGTCTCCAGCTGAGATATGCATTTGGTGAGCTGCTAGGTAAAGCAGTTAAACCACCGACAGCATAGAGCTCGGTAACAAGCAGACCTTCTCCCATTTCTCAATCTTTAGCTTCCGAAGAAATTCATTTGTCTTTTGTGTATCTGTACCAGTTTCAGCCTTATTATCATTTGTGACGTGAATGCCTGAATACTAGAAATATCTACCAATTAAATGTAAAACTGCCTGTACAAATTATGATAGTAAAAATGCTTGGAATTGAGAAAGTACTTTTAACTTCTCATATCATTTGCATATGCACTATAATATTTGTAGGTCACAGTATAGTTCCCCTACCCCTGTGATGACACATGAATGTTTGTTGTTGCTTTTAAAGAGAGAAGCAGAATGATTTCACTTGGGATAAAGAGAAATGAATTCTTAACTAAGGCTTTTGCTTTAAGCATTCTCTATCCCTTTGAGGTTTATGTTATCTTTTAATTTTCCTTAACATCTTTATTTGTTTATGTCTTGGAGAGTGACAACTTTTTAGCTTTATTTTAGACATTCTGCTGAGCATTTTAGATGAATTACCTTATTTAAATATCACTACAATATTTTGAGGTGGATAAGGTTATTATCCCTAATTTTAGATGAAGGAACTGTAGCTTTTTGGGACAGCTCTGTCCAAAAAGCTACGTAATGCAAGCCACACATGTAATTTGAAATTTTCTAAAAATATTAAAAATACACAGTTGAAATTAATTTAATAATATATTTGTTGAACCAATGAGTCAATATATTATTTCATCATGTAACTGATATGCAATGATAATGGTATATTATGTTATATTATATTATATATTGAAACAGAGTCTTGCTCTGTTGCCTAGGCTAGAGCAAAACGCCACAATTATAGCTCACTGCAGCCTTCGAGTCCTGGGCCTAAGTAATGCTCCCAACTCAGCCTCCCGAGTAGCAGGGACTACAGGTGTGCACTGCCACACCTGGTGAATTTTTTATTTTTAGTATAGATGAGGTCTCACTATGTTGCCCAAGCTGGTCTGGAACTCCTGAGCTCAAGCAATCCTCCTGCCTTGGTCCTCCAAGGTGTTGGGATTACAGGCCTGAACCATGGCATCTGGTCAATATATTTTACATACGTGTGTGTGTGTGTGTGTGTGTGTGTGTGTGTTTATGTGATATACCTTCAAAATTGGGTGTGTACTTTACACTCGAAGCATATGTCAACTAGGGCAAGCCACATTTCATGTGCTCAGTAGCCACATGTGGGTAGTGGTTATCTTATTGGACAATACAGGTCTAGAGATTAATTTCTTCACAGCCAGACAGCTAGAACATGGCAGAGCCAAGACTCCAAATTTGGTCAAAAATCAAAGGTTTTTTCTTAACTACTGAGCATCACTCCCTCCTATTGCAATTGTTGCTGATGGTTTAATATTAAACATTAAAAATATCATGGAGAATGTGTTTTATCCAGTCTTTCTGTTTCATTCCCATACACCAATCTACTTTCCCAATAGCAATGATGATCTATTGATTATCACATGTCTGTGCAATGAATAGTGCAATTTGTGATGTAAAACACAAAAAAAGAATGGAATTTAGTGCAAAATAACTGTCACATGATAAATACAAATTACTCTGTTGTCATCTATCTGCATGACCTGTACACTCCTTCTCTGAACAGAGACTATAAGGAAAGACAGATCACAATGAGATGACAGATTGCTTGATAAGGGATGTTTCATGCAAGGTGAATTAAAATAACAATATTTGATTGGCTTCATCAATCTCATATCAAGGGTGATTTTGTCAGAGAGTGAAAATGTACATGAATAGGTGTTGCCAATGCTCATCTCTCTGTTTTCTTTCACCAGGATTCTATGGCTGATCAATCCTTTTTTAGATGGGCATGTTATTTCTTGGTTTTAATCAATTCTTACAGGCCTGAGAAACATCCTTACTCACCAATGTTTTTGAAAACTCTTCTTTGATCCATTATATAATCAGAATGGCTTTATAGTTTATCCCTCAGAGAATATGCATATTTCCATGTTTATGGGGGTATATATTACCATAATTTCCCTTTTATGATCATAGCAGAACCCTGGTCTAGGTTCCTAATGGGAACACTGAAGAAACAAAATGCAATAAATATCACAGTTCCTTCCTGACACCTCATCCAAAAACCAGATTCCCACAGTGCCCTTTTTGCTTTTGAGGACTTTTGTTAGTCATAAAATTTTTATGTAATGCACATTCTGAAAATGTGTCACTACACAATCTGAAGACCGTATGCTGAGGGGCAGCACAATGGACTGGACGTAACATGGGTTGGAATTTCCTGTGTATTTTACAGCTATAATACCTTGGGCATTTTTACCGAGTCTCTGTTTTCTCATTTGTTAAGGAAAACATGAAGCTAATAATACCTACCTCTTAGAATGGTTTGGAGGATTAATGGGACAATTTATATAATGCAGATGGTACATTAAAAACATTCAGTAACGGGGAGTCCTTCTGTCTGTAGTCAGAAAAGCGTCTTCATCAGTCCTTTTAGAGTTAGAATGCCTAGAGCTTTTTGCCAGGTGCCTTTTGGTTATTCCGTTGCTCATTGGTGCCACCATCAGACAGAATACAGGAGAAAAGAAAATGGGGGAAAATTTTCATTATTTTCAGATGTGGATTTCTGTCAGTCTTTTCAACAGACTCAATTTCTTAGGTAACTTTCTGGTTTGCTTAGTTCAACTAGTAGAGTCTCCTTGGTCTGTAAGTAATGTTTCTAATCTATTCAGATCACTTCCTATTGGACTATCCACCTAAAACTAAATGCTCTGCTCCATATTATATATAGAAGAATTCAGATTAACTATAAAGTAACCATGTAGCTGAATTTATGAGTTATATACCCTGAATAGAAATCTAGAGTCTGTTACTCTTTAGCGTCATGGTCTTGTGCAAATCACCTGTCCTCTATGAATTTCAGTTTCAGGAATTGCAAAATGGAATAATAATATTAACCTCATAAGTCTGTCATGATAACTTTAAATACTTTAAACGGTGACAAAATAGTTCTCTTCTCCTGCCTAGGGATTAAATGGAAATCTTCAGAAATCAATTAATTGATATCTAATGTGGATGTTATGAATAATTCTTAGTATTTGAAAGCACTCCCATAGCATGCCTGTGCCACACTGTCCCTGGATCAATCAGTGATTTTATTTGCATTGAGTTCCTGCCATCTCCCATGACACAGTCTCATACAGTATTGCAATCCCCAAGAGTCAGAGCTGTAACCATTTAGCAGCTTCTGATTTCCCCTCTCAGACATTTCCTAGCTCCCAAGAAGAGTACAATGCATGTGCTGGATACTGTGAATAATGAAGGGACAGTTACAGGAGGAGCAAAATGTAATAGTGAAGTGTCTCCTCACACCTGTGCAAGTAAATATTTCTCTGTTTTCTTTCATGCAGACCTGCATTGAGCTGCGGTGCTGATGTTTCTCCTAGTAGCATGGTTTTCGGTATAAAAATATGCAAAAAAGTGACGTGAGGAATATTTGAACCAAGGATTTAACCTTCAAAATATCAGGAATGGGAAAGGAGGCAGCTAAGAAGATGGAGAAGGATATACTGGGGAAATAAGTCATAAGGATTTGCCTTTCAGTTAAAAAACTTTCCCTGAAGCAGCTATTAGAGAAAAGCAACTTATTATAATTCTGAAAATTTTTCCTTCTTGATGTTCTATCTCTATGCAGATGTCATCTCCTCTTCTATTCAGTAGACAAAAAATAAAAAATGGATACTGTGTTATTGGTGCTCTGAAACATTCTCTACTTTTTCTCCTTTTATTTCAGGAAAAAGAGCCACCTACTTTCAAATAATTGCACAGCCCCAGAAAGATAAGTTTTTCTACAGGATAAGCACAGAAAGTGGATTTTCCCCATAAAATCGTACACCTTTCTGGAGAGAGGAATTTAGAAAATTCACCTGGTTAATTTTCTGGCGTCTGGGTAAATTTAAGGAGTTGTTCCTTGAAACAAGAATAAGAGTTGACCAGCTGGGGTGGTTTTGATGTTGTTACTACTGGTTTTTTAATCACATGCCAGGAACGGGAGAATTGGCCCCTACTTCCTTATATCCACGACCCTTCGAAGGCATAAACCAGCCACATTCCTCCTGGTACCTTTAGTGGTCCTTGGGGACCTGGCACCCGGATGCCCACCCAGCCGTCGCCCACCAGGCAGCCAGAGCTGGCTGGCAAGCACCAGGCATGAGGCTCCGGGCTGGTTTCCTCCCTCTCTTGCCCCCTTTCCTACCTTGGAAAAGCGCCGTCCATGCCCGCGACGCTGCCTGGTCTCTGGCAGCAATGCCACCTGACTCACTCCTGCTTGCTGTCTGGGGTAGCCAAATGCTAGGTCGCTAGAACTTCTCCTTCCCTCCTTCACACACACACACACACACACACACACACACACACACAGCCCTTCGCTGCTGTCAGAGGATTAATCTGGAAAGGCGATCGAAGTACCAGACCCCGCTCACAGTTGAGTATGATATATGCGGACAGCCTCTCAGCTCAAACTGTGACTTTGCCAGGCTTCTGCCCCTACTACCCCTAGTCTGCCTTAAGTATCCTTTGTATGAGAAAACGGTGCTGTGGGATGCTTGTTCTCTAGCTGGAGTCGGCAGCCAGCGGTATCACAAGAAAAACACACAAGAAAAATCAAACTTCTCTGAGAAAATGTGAATGGGTGAAACTTAAAGGGAAGCCTAAGAGAAGAGTGAGCAGAGGACCGAGGAGAACATTGTATGCACAGGGTTTTGCTCAGGAAAGCTAGCAGCCCGAAAGCGGCGCGTTTTCTTCAGCAGCGGGTCCCGCACGCGAGAGTGCTGCCAGCACGCTTTCTGCCTCCTTCTCCAGGAGGCGAGCAGTAACTTCCTAAGCTTACCTCCATCTCTCCCCCGCCCTTCTTGCTGGTTCTCCGTCAGCGGGGAGGGGCCGCCCCCGGATCGATGGGGGATGTGAGGTGCAGGGAGTGGGGACCAGAGGGGGGTACTCAGCAGTTGGTGCTGCGCCATCCCTTCCCAGCAGGCGGCCCGGACACTGGTTCACTTCTCTCCCCACGCCTTCCCCTGGTTCACCCCCCTTCCTTCCCCTTTCTCCCCCTCTGTTAAGTCCCTCCCCCTCGCCATTCAAAAGGGCTGGCTCGGCACTGGCTCCTTGCAGTCGGCGAACTGTCTGGGCGGGAGGAGCCGTGAGCAGTAGCTGCACTCAGCTGCCCGCGCGGCAAAGAGGAAGGCAAGCCAAACAGAGTGCGCAGAGTGGCAGTGCCAGCGGCGACACAGGCAGCACAGGCAGCCCGGGCTGCCTGAATAGCCTCAGAAACAACCTCAGCGACTCCGGCTGCTCTGCGGACTGCGAGCTGTGGCGGTAGAGCCCGCTACAGCAGTCGCAGTCTCCGTGGAGCGGGCGGAAGCCTTTTTTCTCCCTTTCGTTTACCTCTTCATTCTACTCTAAAGGCATCGTTATTAGGTAAGTAACCGGACTGGGTACCTGTACAGGGTGCTGTCAGGGAGGCGTGAGGTCCACACTTAGTGCGCGGACACTGCCCGCTGCCTGCCCCTGAGGTCTGAACTATGACAACGGGGTGGTTTTAAAGACGCTTCTGCTATTCTCCCTTCCCCCTTCTCTTCCCGGGAGGGAAGAGAAAGAGCAAACCCCGGAGGTGAGCGCAGGGAGAATATCTTTTTGCACTACCACCGCTGCGCTTCGTTACTTTGGGAAAACTCTCACTTTTGTCAGAAATGTGTCGGCGCATGAATTTCCCCGACATTGGCTGTGCAAAAAGGTCTCTCCCTTTAAAGGGTACAGCCAGCTTCAGCGAGGCTGAGGGAAACTCTAAGGTTGGGGCGGGTGTTGACAAAAGAGCACGTCCCGGACTCCCAGACTCGCCCGGCTGAGAGATTGGAGCTGAGGGGCGATGCCTCTAGCTGAGAAACTACCCCTGGCCTCGCTGCGCTCCTCTGGGGGCTCGGGTTTGGATCCCTGCCAGGCTGGCTCCAACCCTTGAGGGTACGACCCTTGGCGCAGAGAGGAGGGCCAGGAGCGCACAGGGTTCCCGGTGCTGTTTCTCTTGGCGCTCACCTCCCCGCCCTTCCTTCCCGCCCTATTTATGGGGCTGTACTCAGCCAGCACCTGCTGGATGTGGAGATGGTAGGTGTGAGAAATACTGCCTATTTTTTAAAAATCAACTTATAATCTAGCCGAAAAACGGCATCATTTTCTCATTTTAAAAAAATGACTTTTCTAAGAGTATTGCCAGACATAAAAGGGTTCCTCTTTCTCTAAAGAAATGACTTGTAATCCCTTAGCCAAATAAATAAATCAATAAACCGCCCACCTATCCCATAAATAGATGGTGTTTTCTAAGACAGAACCCAGAAACAGTTCACGTCCTCACAAAGGAATTCTTTTTCTTAAAGCGCGTAGCGATAAAACGGCTCTTTTTTTTTTCGAGGAAAGTAATGTACCTTTTAAAAGAGGTTCATCGGAAAATGTGACTTTTTAAAAGCGAGCAGCCGCAAACGGGTGCATTTTTTAGACTTTAGAAGAGCGGAGCGGCAGTCCGCCCGGGTTGCGGCTGGGACTCGCATCTGAGCGCTTAGTCGCAAACGGACTGAGGGTTAGGAGGAGAGGTCACTTTCTCAGAGTGTACAGCCAGAGCCGCTTCCTTGCCTCTCCCAGGGAAAGACTTTTAGAGCTTAACCGAAGGTGGGCCCTTTTGCTTCAGAATGATTTATTCCGCGTTCCTCTGCTTCACCCGCCTGCGGCTTAGGGTGTGGGGCGCTAGGCTGCTCATGTGAAGCGCTTACGGGTGAGCCCTGGCCTCTCCGATGCAAAATATGGGCTGGGGGCTGGGAATTGCTATTTGCGCCACTGCGGCCTACACCCACAAAGCAAAAACCGTGGGGAAGAGGGGCTAGGACAAAAGAAAAAGAATTAAAGCTCAACAACAAACAAAATAAAAATTTTTAAAGTGTCTTTTTCTTGTGTGGAAACATCACAAAATGGGATTTAAACCCAGCCTAGGATCTGTTTTGTACGAAGAAAAGTGTGTGGAAGAAACTGGTTGAAAATCCGGGTAGAAGGGGGAGGGGGGGCAGCAAAGATGGGGAGGAGGCGATGGTGTCATAGCAGTCGCCTGTGCGCTCTTAGCGCTGCAACCAGGAAACAACCTGAGGAGCATGCAGAGAATTCCGAACGCTGAGCACACCTGAGAACATAGACGTGCTTTGTGACTTAAAGCGATCTAGGCCCCCTAAAAAGTAAAACAGGTGTGACTCAAAATAGAAAAGGAAACGGTACTTGAGGGCACCCGCGCAACTTGGTAAAGACTGACGGAATTCCACTTTTAATCTTGTTTGAAACAAACTCTCGCAATCCCAGCAGGAAATTCCAGCGCCAGGGCTGGCCTTTCCTCTGTGGGTCTGTGTGTGTGTGTGTGCGCGCGTGTGTGTGTGTGTGTCGCGGCGGGGCTGGGGGTGGGGAAGCAATTGGAAGCAAGTCGAAGTAATAGTGTATGTACACGTTTCCCCCTTTCTTGCCTTTGTCTAGTTCATCATAGAGAGAGCGCGGACCGTGTGCGGGCCGTCTTGACGAAAGAACCGAGAGATGGATGCGCTAAGGTCTAAAGATACCTTTCTCCCTCGACTAAATTAAGAATTGCTGCGGCAGTTCCCAAAAGCTGAGTCCCGCTGCAGCTGCCAGGTCGCCACACTCGCCAAGCGGCGAGGGAGCGCCTTTGCCTACCAGGCCGGAGAACCCTGTTCTTCAGTCGCCTTGGCAGGGGCAGCCCCTCCTTCTGGCAATGATGTCAGCTGCAGAGAGGCTTGGCCCGGCCGATGGGAAGCCGAGCGGCGAGTCCGACCCGCAAGCACGAGCAGCCCTGCCCCGCGCGCTCCCTGCGCGCAGCCGCCCTCGTGTCCCTTCGGCCCCTCCTGGGTCCTGGCTCGCAGCCCCCCCCCTTCCAGTCCCTCGCTCCTCAGAGGCGCGCTAAGGCGCCAGAGGCGGGGGTGGCCACTGCTGGCGGCCCGCCGCCGGTTTTAAACCCGGGGTTCAAACCCAGATTTGGGGTCTTCCCTCCTCCATTTCCTCCTTTCCTCCGCGCCCCAGCTCTCTCCCTTTTTCAGCTTGCACCTTCACTATTCACAGTGACTTTACTTATTTAGCAACATTTTAGAGGGCAAGTGTTCCAGATGCAATAATAGTAGTAACTGGTGTTAAATTTCTGCTGTTTTCTCTCCCCTCGGGTGATAAAAAAGATGTGAAGAACGCCTCTTTAAAAAAAAAACCCCCGTGGCTGCTGCTTCGCCTGTCACAGAGCAAGCTCTCTAGAAGGCGGGGAGGGTCATCTTTCCCACAAAATTGTGAGGTGGGGGAGGGTTTGTAACCTTAGGCGAAAGCGCAGGCTGGGGAATCCCCTTCACAGAAAGAAGAAACTGCAAATTGGAAGTTGCGGAAAGGCTCTATCCACTACTGCCATAGGGGAGAGACCACCATGCTCTTTATTTAGAGACCCGCGCTCCAAATTGGGATGATGCAGGAATAGGTTTCTTTAAGACGGAAGCCCGCTGCGGCTTCCCTTTTGAGCTTGCTCTTATAGTCCTAAGGAGCAAGCCCCTGCTTTGCCAAATTGGAGGCTAATCTGTTTTCCTGATTGCGGACAATTCCTTCTTTAGCTTTGGTAGAAGGGCCGCAGAATGCAGTTGGAGAAGGTTGCACAGGGCAAGAGGGAGGGGCAGAGGCAGGGCGTGTAGAGGCAACTGGCGCCTGGAGCAGAATTTACCTTCCAAAGGAAAAAATCTTCAAGGGGTGTCGCAACAAACTGCTTACTTACTGTGTTTTGGTTTGGACGCAGGTGAGAGATGTGGGCAAAGGGAGCAGGAGCAAAGAATTACTCTGTTTTGTAAAAGTAGGATTCTTCCCCCTTCCTTTTCTTCTTCCCTTTGATGAAAAGCTTCCCTTTCATGACGTATAGCTGGCAGCAAACTTAAAGTTGCTGTGCGTCTGAAATACAGGAATGGGAAAGAAACTCCGACCAAGCATAAAACACACTCATTTTCTAGAGCTCAGTCATTTGCTAAGGGTTGAAATAAACTGTGTACCCCCACTCCCTGCCCCTTCCCCCTGGCTCCTTGGCCTTTTTGTCACCGGACTGGATTCTGAAGGACGTCCAGGTAATGCTGGGTTTCAGCAGCTGAAAGGCCTGGCAGAAGGGATTGCAGGTTTCACATTCTTCCTTCTCTTGGTATTCAAAACTTTATTTATTTATTTATTTTTTGCGAGATAAAAATTCTTGATAGAGAGCTTCCAGACTGCTGGTGGCAGGGAAGCAATCTGGTTAAGAGATTCAGAAAGCAGAAAATTCTTTTTCTCTGCGCAAGCAGTCCACAACAGCCTTTAGCTAGGATTTATAAGATTCTTGGTGGAGCAAGGCGAGGCACATCGACAAGGAGAGTTTATATAAGCCACTGGCCTTGAGGTACATTGAAAAAATATGTATGGCAGCCACGTTTTCTTAGTGGGAAAGAAAATTATTCAGGGAATGAAATTTTGAAGGCTAATTCTCTCCAAGAATCTTGCTTCACATAATTTAAAGGAGGTGTCATCCCTGTATTTGTTCACTGAGGAGTCCACAAACTTTAATTAGTCACCTACTGTGCCAGACAATGTGCTAGGCTCTAGGAATACAAAAGAGAGTATGACAAACATGGCATGGGCCTCTTTGAGCCATGACACTCTTATAGATCTAGGATACGATGTGATAAATGATGTAATTGAACATAATGGAGAGAGGAATTAATTTTTGTTAAGAGGTTGAGAAGAGGTTCATAAAGGAGAGAGAGGTCTGTGGCTTTAAAAATAGTCATTCCTAGTCAGTGGCTAGCCAAGAAATGTATCTGGAAGGTCATGACCTGCACAGAATAAGTAAGGAAGGGCATGAGGGCTTGGTGTCTTGTTACAAAGTTTAGAGGTATATGTGTGTTTTGTAGACCTAGAACATCTTTGAATATTTTTTTCCAGCAAATTCGTTAAAGTAACAACAATAAAATAGCCTGAGAAAATTGGGCAATAGATAGCACACAGTAGAAATATTATTGTTGTTTGCATTTAAATGAAGAATTGAATACATTGATGTATTACAGTAGAGACTGGAAGCAAATATGTTAAGAAGATAATGTAACATCCAGAAAAGAGGACTAATGAAAGAATAGGGCCTAAAGCTAATCAGTATAACTAAGAAAGAAAAGAAGGCTACTTTGGGGAATAAAATTTCTCTTTAGGCACCATCATGTATCCACTCAGATCTTTTTACTCATCTCACTTTCCCCATCCAGACTTCGAAAAATTCCCCATCTTCCATCTATCCAGTAAACTCCCTTTGTCCTGGGGAGACCCCCACTCCTTCAGCCACTTTCAAGCACATTCATCTTCACCTCACCCCATTTTCTACACACATCCCTGCATCATCTCTGAACCTTACATCATGTAACATTTTACCCACTTCAGCCTTCTTTCTACAACCAGTTAGAGCCTCTTAATCTTGTCTTTTTCCTCCCTTTAGGCACTAACAAATAGCTCTATCTTGCTTCTTTTTCCTCCTCTAAGTCAGGTATTCCCCGCCCCTTTCCCATGCATTAATTATCCTGCTAATTTGTCCATTCATTTCCCCCTTTTACATCCTCCTCCCCCTTAGCCACCTTGCATTCTCCTATCTTTCATTGACCTCAAAGAAGCTAAGGGGAAAGAAAAGCCACTCTACTTTAAACTTGCTTAGATTTGCCAAATTTTCATCATCAAGGTTTCTTCCTTTCTGTGTCTTTTGCTGTTTTAGTTCACACAAGACTTTTAGTGGAATTCCTTCAATTTGTTATATATTTTTATTATGCCTGCAAATGTCTGTTTTCCTTTGGTTGTGGCTGGGGATTCAAATATTTTACTTTGGGGAGTATTTCCAACCTTTCTGAAGTTCTCACTGACACACTCCTGACACTGTTTCGCTGCATCCCATCCTTTCTGCTGTATTCTCTTCCCATGGGTAATTCCTTTTATATTTTCAGTGAAATTCTTTCTTATTTTTATTCCCTCCTCCCCCCCTCCTCCTTTTTTTCTTTTTGCTTTGTGGGATTGGTACAGTGGCTCAAGTTTAAATATTTTGAGAAGGGACCCCCCTCAGCAGACCCCCTCAGCCCACACACAGGATTTTAAAGCCTGTGTCAACGTGTGTTCATGTCAACATACAGTTACCAATCTTCAGAGGCAAAGGAACCCCTGTTTGTTTTATTTTAACTGCACTCTTAGAAAATTCTTTTTCTGTGTGTATGGTAAAGGTGCAATTCTCATATCGTTGTTCTCTCTACATTCAGTGGAATTGATTCAACATCGCTGGGAATTGGGAAGGGAAGAAAGAGTATGCTGTAAAAATACATTTTTCATCAAAGACATATATACATGCTACGTTTGGGAAAAATAAAATACTTGGGAACATTTAATTGGATTGACTTTATATTACAACATTCCAAATTACATGTCATTGTCTGAGCAGAGTTCTATTATTTGAAGACTTTATTGATCATTCAGTGTCCAGAATGAAGAAAACTAGGTAAGATGTCTTGATGTTCCAAACTGGCTTGCTATGTTCAAATTGATCATATTTGAAATGGTGTTATTTTTCAATAGAAGTTCTTCACGAAGGCATCATCTCTAAAATGTGGTTATCTTTTCTTAGGAGAAAACATCAAATGACCTATGTGTCATGGTCCCTTAAGATTTATTCTCTATGCAAGGTTAATTGTAAAATAAAAGTTTATCAGATAGAGAAAACTATTTTAGGGTGAAACTGTCTTTTGATATTCAGTTACATCTGGGGAAACACTGCATTCTCATTATCAAACAGCACCAAAACGTGGGAAAAAGAGTATTTTTCAATTACTGTTTTGAATTTGAGGAGTAGTTTGCCAGAAATTATAGATGTACCTGTTATCCTTTTGCAATCTAAAAATCCTCAACTGTTCAAGGATTTAAACTGCCCTTTTAATTGTCTCTAATGTGTTATGCACTGGATTAATATAATACATTTTAAGACAAAGAACATCAGTGGCTACAATTTTTGTTTCCAGCCCAAATCTGAAAGAATGATTTTTGTACACCTAATCTGCTCATCTTGAACGTGTAGATTTGGGTAAATAGGAGGAAAGATAAATGAAAGGAGAGAATAAATTCTGGAAGAATATATTTCTCTGTTCAATAAAAACTGTTTTAATAATCTAATATAACTTTTAGCATGACAATGATAAAATTAATTTGCTGATGGATTTTAATTAAACTAAAGGAAAATTCATTTCTTTTAAAAATCCTTAAGTGATTAGAGTGCAAATTGAGATTTTAGCTAATTATATAATTCAGTTACTATCATCACATAAAATGAAATTAAAAGATTGTTTTCTGTCACCTTTATTTTGATTCATTCTTTAACTCCTTCAATATGTATAGTATTTTATATTTTTATATCATTTAAAAAGTTATATTAGGATCATAAAAATTTTTTGAGTAGAAAAAGAAGGCATGGTTATACCCATTTTGTCAATGGGGAGACTGAAGTTCCCGCTGATGAAATCAGCTCCCTAAGAATTTCCAGAATTAAGAGGGGAAGCTTCAAGAGGATTGATGGTCTTTAGTCTCCAAGCCAGGTCTTTTCCCAACATCCCTTCTTGCCTCTTTTTTATTTTTGAGTATATGTTGTCAAAGTTCTGAATGTAAAAAGCAAAAATCTATGTGTCTTGGATTAAAAAATAAAATTTCAAAGACAAGTATATTCAAATATATTAAAATAAGTTTTTCAGTTAATTTTCTACTAGCATTATATTCTCCTATTTAGTGTCTTTTTGCACTAAGCTTTGTAAACATTATATGATATTAAATAAAATGGTAGAACTATTGAAATGTTAACAGTACATGCTTATATGCTTCTTCCATTTTGTTTACAAAAATAATTTAAATTATGACCCATCATAATGACAGTCCCTAAAGTTTGAGTTTACTTAATGTAGCAAATGTTTAGTCCTATATCCTACTATCCTACTGTCATTTTTTTAGAACACCTGTATTTTTACATAAGATTTATTTTAGGGGATGTTTGCCAATGATTTTTAGGTAGTGTTTTTTTTCCTGACATGACATTTTGGAAGCAACATATCTTTGGTAATCAGTTGAGTGTGGGTTTGTATCATATCAACCGAAAGGATATTAAGCCCCCAAAATTCAAATCGTTGTTTGTTGTCTTCAGATTACAAACTCATTTCAGGTACAGTGAGAGCAGGGGTTTATTTAAATTGTGTGAACACAAGGTCTTTTATGATTTATGTTTTATTAGTGTCTAGAGAGTGACCTTGGGCAAAAACCTTCACCTCCCTGGACTTCAATTTCCCCAAAAGTAAAATGAAGGAATTGTAAGTTACTTCAAGGCCCTTTGCAAAGGGAAAAAAAAATCCTGTGATATTTTACAAAAAGCAGTAGACATCTAGGACATTCTTTCCTTGTCCCTTGGCTCTGCACGTATTATCAATTTGACTGTATTGATTCATTAACCATCAATAACTAAAAACCTATGGCTTGTCCAGCATTGCAATACTTTAAATGTTAAGGGTGGCCCTTAAAGAAATTTTGGAGAGTTCTGTCTTTGAAAAGCTTATATTCTAATAGGGCTAAAACAATGAACAACAACAACAACAAAGTAATATATAGTCACATTAAATTGAATTCAACAAATATTCGTTGTCACTCTACATTACAGTACACCAAGTATAGTGCAGGTTTTATAGACTCTGAAAGTGGAAGGGACCGGAAAGATAATTTAGTCCAAACCCCTCATTTTACAGATAAGAAAAGGAAGGCTCAGAGATGAGATATGAGTGCTACAGGAGTTCATGTAAGGTATTGGGTGATAGCATGAATTAATTTATTCCACAAACATACTTGTTCCCTGCTTTCCAACGTGTTTAGAATTTTAAAACACCATCATGTAGGGCTTTTTAATTACCTTTGCTCAAATTTAATAATAGTATCTTATCAGAAAGTTAAATGTATCCAAAACTTGTTTGTTTTTTGTTGCAGTAAACAATTTCCCACTCTGACTCAGATCTAGAAAATACTGTTTCCCAAATTTTGTATTGAATAGAGATTATTAAAAGCACCTGTATTGTGCATATTATGTTATAAAACATAAAAAATGATGTTTTGATATGGAAAACAAGTGAATGGATTCAAGTATCAATGCATTATTTTATTTTTTTAAAAAAATGACTGGAAAAGCCCATTTACTTAAAATGGCTAGAAATATACATTCCTGGAAGGATGGTTTTATTTTTATAAATGCATATTTACTCTAAATAGTTAAGTACACATTTCCTTTAAGTTTTAAATATAATCTGGGGAAGATTTTGAGTGCATTCTCTAAAATTTGATGTTTGCTACATAATCTCATTCTCTATGCCAGGGCATATGTGCGTTTGTTAGGGAGTATGGGTCAGGCAAACGTAGGCAGGAAAATTATGCCAAAGCAAAGCTTTCCCTTCTTTCCTGAGTAATCGTAGACTGCTTTATTTTACTTTGTGACAGAGGAAGAGGGGAGGAGAAAGGAAATCAAATAGAGAAGAAAGAGAACTACCAGAGCGTTGGATGATAGGGCCTGATTTTCTCTTCAGTGTGAAATATGGAAGCTTTTTGAAACTGCCTTGGATAGCTTGTCTCTTTTACTTCTCATATTATATATTTAGAATACCTTAAGTGTTGGCTGGTCTCAGCGGCTCACGCCTGTAATCCCAGCACTTTGGGAGGCTGAGGCGGGTAGGTCATGAGGTCAAGAGATCGAGGCCATCCTGGCCAACATGGTGAAACCCCGTCTCTACTAAAAAAAATTACAAAAATTAGCTGGGCGTCTTGCTGCGCGCCTGTACTCCCAGCTACTCGGGAGGCTGAGGCAGGAGAATCCCTTGAACCCGCGAGGCGGAGATTGCAGTGAGCCGAGATCGCGCCACTACACTCCAGGCTGGCGACAGAGCAGGACTCCGTCTCAAAAAAAAAAAAAAAAAAGAAAAAGAAAAAAGAATACCTTAATTGTTATTTGATGGTTGTTTGCTAGGTTGTGAGAATCAAAATCTTCCAAAACATGAATACATTAAATTTTTTTAAAGAGAGGCTTAAGAATAGGTAATACACACACCAAACACACAAACAGGACAAAACCTTTACATGAGAGCTCCTCAGGCAGAATTTCCTTTGCCTTTCTTTTTAGATCGGGAAAGAATTTGCTCAGTTTGTCAGTGACGTTTTACCCTTCAGTCTGCCTCCACAGTTCTTAAAGCTTTCCTTGTCTGCAGCCTTTCTTAGTCCATGAATTCAGTTTTAGCATCCATAAAATAAAGCAGTTACAATATGTGCTGGCCATTTTATAATGGCCATGAGTGCAAAGCAGGATTACTTAAGAAAGAGCATTTGAATTCACTGAAAGTCACAGACATTCTGAATGCCTCAGAACTGCATACAGGAGTAAACAGATATGGGAATATAAGGCTAATGTTCAAAACTTGGATAGCTGGCATATATAACAGAATCAAAACACTTTAGAAAGAAATAGAACCAATATACAATTACTAATCAATCAGCATCACTGCTAACGACTTGTTATTTTAAACTCCAGTTTCTAGGAAATTACATTCTATTCCTGTGCTTCTCAAACTATAATGTGCAGACAGATCATCTAGAAATGTTAAAATGCAGATTCTGATTCAGTAGATTCTAGGTGAGGCTGAAATTCTGCATTTCTAACAAGCTCCCTGTACACATGGAAGCTGCTGCCCCTCAAACTACAGTTATCCAAAAGGCGCTGATCCATAGTCTGGTAAACAAGCATGATAAAGATGAAGTAAGCCAAGGGTAACAGGATTTCTTAAAAGAAAAAAGAAACAATTTAGGTATGTGCAATGGATGAAAGTTTTAAATTCAACTAGATTTACAATTATTTGCATTTAGAGGTTAAATTTGATTTTAACCTTTGGTGTGACTATATTGGTTGAAACTGTAGTTCAGAATAACAACCAGTTGCTTGTCCATTTTGCAGTCAAATCTATTTCATGGACACTTTGTACATACGATTATACCATTTCAAAAATGAAAACCATTCGTCATACAGTGTCAATGGTGTACCAATATCTTAAAATCTTTTTAAAGAAATCCAAAAGCTGTGAGAAGTCTTAGTATAGTATAGACCCCTAAAGATATTGGTTTGTAAAATATCAGAATTGAACATATCAGCTAATCATTCAGATTTTAGAGTGGAATATCCAATTAGATTTTCATTTACCTAATTTGAAGAACTTCTTTTTATTTTCTTATTAGTCACATTTTGCAGAACAACAACAGCAACAACGAAAGACACTTGGTAGAGATTATTTTGTATTTGCTGTCTCAAAATAAAAGTCCTCAAAGTGGGAACAAAGGTAAATTAGACACCATGCTAACCACTTTCCTCACAACTAGACTTTTATCTTAGAATACAGCCGAATAGTCACTTAATCTAAGTGAAACTTTCATTCATTATTAGTTTAGGAAAACTTTCATAGTTCTCATTTCTTTATGTGCAGCTCAGAAACAGTATCAAGTTAAAACACATGACATTGAAAGCAACCATTGAAATAAGTGTAAATGTTTAAATTGTGCTTGCTAGGAGACACGGTATAGTTCTAGCAGGGTTAGGAAAACAACTGAAAGTTTTCACTTCAGCGTTGGAATTCATGTCTTAATTGTACCATTGAGATTCAGAAGCCATCACCTTCCCGATGAAACTGTACTAGTCTTTTCTAAGCTCTGATACTTACAGGAACAGCAAAGTCTGTTTAGTGGTAATAATTTGAGGATCTCAGTGAGATAAAGGGCCAATTGGATTAAAATGTTCTTGTAAGTGCTAAATGAACTTGAGTGTCTGCCAAAATTGCCTTGGATTTCATTACTCTTAACATTACTTAATAATGTTAAGCTAGCGCCCACGTGGGTATGAACCCCAATCTTGCTAACAGTTTTCTGTATTGGTCTGTTCTTGCATTGCTATAAAGAACTACCTGAGACTGGGTAATTTATAAAGAAAAAAGGTTTAACTGACTCACAGTTCTACAGGCTGTATAGGAAGCATGGCTAGGGGAGGCCTCAGGAAACTGACAATCATGGCAGAAGGCTAAGAGGAAGGAGTCACGTCTTATATGGCCAAAGCAGGAGGAAGACGGAGCAGGTGCAGGTGCCACACACTTTTAAACAACCAGAACTCGTGAGAACTCACTCACTATCACAAGAACAGCAAGGGGAAAATCCACCCCCATGATCCTATCACCTTCCACCAGGCCCCTCCTTCAACACTGGGGATTAAAACTGGACCTGAGATTTGGGTAGGGACCCGAATCCAAACCATACCATTTAAGCATAGACTGTTTCCATGTACCTAATGGGGCACGTATAGCAGCCAAAATACCCTATATCATTTTAGGGTTTTTTTTTTTTTTTTTTTTTTGAGAGGGAAAATCCAAAATATACAAAAAGGAAAAGAAATATAAGAATCAAGACAAAATAAACAGATAGCAAAACATCTTCATACTCTATTATCAAAGAATAGAGAAGAAAACTTACTCTATGGTAAATAGAAATATCAGTTCTATGAACACGATCAGTTCATTTTTTTTTTTTTTTTTAGATGGAGTCTCGCTCTGTCGCCCAGGCTGGAGTGCAGTGGTGTGATCTCGGCTCACTGCAAGCTCCGCCTCCCGGGTTCACGCCATTCTCCTGCCTCAGCCTCCCGAGTAGCTGGGACTACAGGCGCCCGCCACTGCGCCTGGCTAACTTTTTGTATTTTTAGTAGAGAGGGGGTTTCACCGTGTTCTCGATCTCCTGACCTCGTGATCCGCCCACCTCGGCCTCCCAAAGTACTGGGATTACAGGCGTGAGCCACCGCGCCCGGCCTCATGTTTTAAGACAATGAGAAACAATTGAGTTAATTTACAATGGCATTAAAATAAAAAATCATATGTAATTAAATACATGCCAAAAATCAGACTATCTCAGACTCATAACTGGAAAAAATATGAAATAATTTCTTGGCCTGATCCAGCAAATATTAGAATGGTTCAAAATATTAAACAAAATAATGATGTCAGACTATTCCAATTCAGTTTCATAACTTTAAGTCATTTATATTTCCAGCTTCAGAATCAATTTGAGTAGATCTTAGAATGAGTTTAATTACAGGAAAATATTACATAACTGGATGAAATTTTAATCATAAATCACAGACTTGAAGAATAGATTTTAAAGAGATGGCAGTGAAGGTTGAGCAATATTAGCCAGAAGACAATACTGTATAATACATACTAAATGTCTAAGTACTTACAATTGCTAATAATATGATAGGATCACAAAAGAATTAGTAAGAACTTTAAAGGAAATGGATTAATTATATTCATTAGAAAAAAAATTACAATTCTCAGTTACAATTAGGTTCCAGGATAAGGACTGACAACTCAAATAAGCATCATGATTCAGAGAAATGGAAGACACTTTGAGAACATGATATACAGTATTTCCTTTACAATATCATTACACTTTTTATATTTTTATATCCTATGCCAATGATAGCAACTATTAGGTCGAAGCAAAAATAATTGTGGGTTTTCCCATTAATAGATCACCCAAGAACATGCTTTGGTTGTAACTGAAACTACTAAGTTTTTGAAACAGGTAAACTAAAAATCAAAGCAGATTTATCATGAAACTTAACACAAAAACTAAACAAAATACTGGAAATAGCACTTTGCAGTAACTACTAAAAGCAATATCACTAATATCACAGATTTTACTATGTAAATAATTACATTATCACTTTTAAATTGCTTTCATTGCATTTTAGGGTACTCTGGCAGATTTTTTTTCATCTGAATCTCACAACAGTTCTGTGAAACAGGTATTGCATATATTATATATTTTTAACATATGAGGAAAGAGGCAAGACAAATTTTTCTATTCTTAAAATCACATACCTTTTAGGTGTCAGAGACAATAATAGATCCTTGTTCTTATCCCTGGAATAATATTTGTTTTATCAGCTAATATATGCACCAATTTATTAGGTTCAAATATAATTAAGGATATATATTAAATAACAATTTAGAATATATTATATTTACTTTTTTAGAAGTTTTAAATTTGTACTACAGAGTTTCAGTGAGCACTTATTGAATCTTATTCGGCAAAACTATTGTAATATCCCTGGCTTTAGTAATTTAAAACATGTATTAACATAACTATACAATTATACAGTAGTCAATAGTGGACTAGGAAATAAGGATGTTATCAGATTGAACAAGAAAGGAATACTAAGTTGGAAAACAAGTTAGGATTTGGTTCTATTTTCAAATAATTTCGGAAACCAGAGTCAAACTTCAAAGGATTGTCTTCTCTGTGAAGATAAAAATATTTGAAATAATAGGTCTAGAGGGAGAGTATTTGGGAGCAAAAAGGAAAATTATGGCTATGGGTTGGCTCAGATATAGACTGTTAATAATACACTAAGGTGTATTACTCTGGCTAAGTACTGGTAATGCTTGATCACAGAACTTTGGTAGGTTTCAAGTTTCTAATTTTATTTGAATTACATTCAAGCATTTCCGTAATAGAGTTCTGTAATAGTAGTTAACCATGTGGGGTGAATAGGTTTATCCACTGAGCTCATACTTTGTTTTCCATTGGAAGAACTAGATTATTAGAAACTATTACAAAAATATATTTTGCTGTTAGAGAAGCAAACCCTGTTTAGTTTCTTTAGTGAATACCATGAGTTAATTAGTAGACTTAAAAATATAAATGATGACACATATTGTGCTGAAGTGCCACCGAATATAAGAAAAACACTATCCTTTTTGTAAAGTTTCCTTAAAACTACAGTTCTACATAAAGGTGATATTTATTCGTGAATGTTTTCTTGAAAGAAGCCTTTACATATAACCATTTAACACTTCAAACAACCCTGCGGATTAGCTGGAGCAGACATTTTTAGCCTCCCTTTCTTTTGTCCATTTCTGTTTTTCAAATGAAGAATTGAGCTACTAGTCCAGATTAGCTAAATGGCTTGCCTAAAGTCATCGTCAATTTAGTTAGGAGTAACTTAAGATTCCATGAGCTTTTCACCATTGCCATGTAGACTGAGTTACTGGTGGTAGATAATTTAACCTAGGAATTATGTAGTGATTTGAGATTTTTAATAAAGGAAGGAAAAGAGAGGAAATGTTTCTCAGATATAGAATCTAGGTTAGGGATAACATTTCTTTGCAGAAAAAAATACAAATTGTGATGAGATATTCAGATTCTACTGAATTAGCAATACACTGAGGTAAATCATGACTAGCAACGTTTTGATGAAAATATACTTGTTTGCTGTTGGGGTATTCATTCTGTTCTCATTATTAGTGGCTCCAAATGAAGAAAGTAGGAATTATTGTAGTGAAATGCATGTCCCTAGGCATTCTATAATAACCTGGAATTTCTAGTTTATTTGATTTTCCTGTTTTTACTTAGGAAGGTGATATGGTTTGGCTCTGTGTCCCCACCCAAATCTCAGCTTGTAGCTCCTATAATTCCCACGTGTTGTGGGAGGGACCTGGTTGGGGATGATTGAATCATAGGGGCGGGTTTTTCTATGCTGTTCTCATGATAGTGAATGGGTATCATGATATCTGATGGTTTTAAAAATGGGAGTTTCTCTGCACAACCTCTTTCTTTGCCTGCTGCCATCTATATAAGATGTGACTGGCTCCTCCTTGCCATCTGCCATGATTGTGAGGCTTCCCCAGCTACGTGGAACTGTGAGTTCTCCATTAAACCTCTTTCCTTTGTAAATTGCCCAGTCTTGGGTATATCTTTATCAGCAATGTGAAAACAGACTGATACAGAAGGTCATTTCTGATATTTTTTTGTCTTTGTGCATAACTTGTGCTCTTTTGGAAGTAACTTAAAACACAAATACTGTTTAACTATGAGCTATGAACAGTTACACCTACTGACTTAACGTGTGTTTTCCAGAAGGTTCCATTCCCTTTGAAGTGACTTGCCCAAGGTCACAAAAGCAACTTAGTGGCAGTCTGAAATAGAATTTAGGTCTGCTTGGTCAGTGTGCTTTTCACTATATTGTCCTGTCACATCTTTCACCACAGTAAAAGGGCTTATGTACATTTTTTTAAATCACATGTATAATGATCATATAGCCCAAAATAGTCCAGTGTTAAAACTAGTTTTGGTTATAGATTTGAATGGTAAATACCAAACTAATGTGTGTTAAATAGTAAAACGGTGACTCTTTTTCAACAAATTAAAGACATAAAAATACTAACTCATTAACTAATTTTCTGAATGAAACTTAAATTTTATAAAGCAATGTTACATATGTTATAACATTTACCTTCTTGAATGTTAGGGACGTCTCCTACATGAGGTTTTATGCTACAATTTAAACTTTAAATTTTACGGAAATATCACTATAATACCTTACTGCAACTTAGATCTCTCTTGAATCCAAGAAGTTTGTTTTGCAGAAATACTGTAAGAACAGTTTTATAGTCATCTTAATTTTTGTAGCAGGTCCCTATGACTTAAGACCCCAAAATACATTAAGGTAAAGTTTTAATGTTCCATAAACAATACCAATCATCCAATTTATGGAACTTATGTTTTGCTTATTTACAGAAAAATAAATATTTGCCCCATTTTAAATATTTTAAAGGTGTTTGCTCTATTGCTAAAAATGTCTAACACATTAGACTTTTAATAGATTAATGGAATGGAGTTGTAAACTATTCTTCAGCAAACATACCTTTAAAGGTCATGCTGTTCTCAAAACATAAATTAACAAGTTTGGTTAAGTGCAAGGAAGTAGTATAAAAGCCAGCAACCTCAGTTATATTTTAGTCTTGTTATATTTGTTTGAATGAAAATTTATCTTACATAGCTATCTTTTTTTTCCAAAATGTAAAAGATTTTCCTTGTGAACAGACAGCATTTGATCTAACATAGTTATTGGTCTATTAATTTTTTGTGTGTTCTTTTCTACCAGAGCCATGTATTCTTACTGCATAGTATACATTTTTAGAGTAAATTCTTTTAAGAAATAATTTGAACATCTTTAATTTTCAGAGAAAATTTTAGGTGTAGTTTTTTTAATTGCATAACTATTTGAAACTACTATATAGATAAATTTTGAAATTTTAGTAATGTGGTGAAAAAATTCAATGAGAAAGAATCTCCTTGATTCAGAAGCTACTGAAGACAAACAAGTAAAGTTGGAAACTGTTAAAGGACTAAAAGGGCAGAAAAATTGTCAATATCATTTTCTTATCTCTTCTAGATATAGCTGACTTGATAAACTGATTATTAAAAGTAACAAGTTCAAATAACTGAAAAACCCAAGTTCATTTTGAACCAAAGATTATGGTTAAAATACCAATGCCAAATTTACCAAAATAATTACATTTTGCATACTGGATAATCATTATATATGTAGTTGGTACAAATTTATCCTTAGTTATCTATATCTTAGATGTCTACTTCTGTGCCTCTGTGAAGCAGGAGGTAGTCTAATTATTTCCATGGTATGAATATAGAAATTGAGACTTGCCTAAATGTACAAAGACAGTAAATGGCCACATCAGGGATCACACTCACATCTTTTTCACTTCACAGTCCAGATTTTTAACCAGAATGCGAAATATAAATGTATTTTTGTTTATATTTTGAAATATCATTTAACTATATTAATAATTACTATGCACATAAACTTTTCAATTTCTTTTTAGATAAATGTTTTATATTATATCCATTTCTCAGCTTTATTAACTGTGTTAGGAGTGCAGAACACCGTGCCTTGAGGAAACATAAAAGTACATCAGTTAAACTGAATATTAAGGTTTTTCTTCTTTCTTCTGGACAGCTTAATTGTAGGAGAAATATTCTACCTATAAAATTGCCTGTCGTTAACAATTCAGTAACAGCCTGGTGAATGTGAACACACACACTTTAAGTGTCTAATTTAAAACTAGATTTTCTCCTTTGATAATTCTACTTTTGTTGTAGATTATATAATGAGTTTAAGCAAATTAAAATTATAGATGGCTTGTGATCTTTCTCATCAAAGATGATTGCATTTTTGTTTCACTTGTATTAGAAATTTGACAGATTTGATCTAGAGGCATGTACAGTTTTGATTTTTAATGGATTTGCTTGGACAATCTCAAGTTAAAATAAGAACTTTCAATTCTAGTCTCTGTTCAGAAATCCTGACTCATAATACTGAGATAAATACTGGAGGGATAAAATGTCTCTCAGCATTAAATAACTAAATAACATTTGTTTGAACTGTGAAGGGAGAATTGAGTTTATTTATAATCCATCTGCATAATACATCTAGTTGAATCAATCAATTATTTTAACTGATTTTCTTCCAAATTAACTGCTGGTTTTATTTTTATGTGGACATTAGCCTTATTGTCCAAAAAACTCACTCTATATTTCTACTTAAGACAATTAAAATGCAGCAATTCCTTATTCTTTAATCATATCCTTAGGGTATTTAGTCAGAATGGAATATTATGAGTCAAAGATATTGATCAGAAGTCAGTCAAAATTTAAAATATCTTCTCTTGGATTTATTTTCTTCAAAACTATTATCATGCAATAATGATGCAAATGAAGTACAGACAAAAACATAGATGAACACAGATGCATTTGCTTGATAAGTACAGACAAGGAAACAGCATGGTAGAAATTTGCCCAACTAGACTTTCATTCTAGTAGCTAAGCTTTATACTTTTTTTCTTAACTTGATATTTTAAAAACTTGAAAAAAAGAAAAGAATCAGCATCACTTCTCAGCCTTTTGGCTAAGATAGAGTGTAGTATCTGTTCCTATCAGTTTAATATCTGATGTATCCTCTGTCCGAGGACAATATATTACATGGATTTTTGGAGCAGGGAGATGGAATAGGAGCATGCTCTGTCCACTCCACACATTGACCTGGTATTGCAGTACCTCCAAGAACGGTGTTCCCCTCGGGGGTTAAAACACAGTGTTACGGGCTGGGCGTGTTGGCTCACGCCTGTAATCCCAGCACTTTGGTAGGCCGAGGCAGGTGGATCACCTGAGGTCAGGAGTTCGAGACCAACCAGGCCAACATGGTGAAACCCCATCTCTACTAAAAATACAAAAATTAACCAGGCATGATGGCGGGCGCCTGTAATCCCAGCTACTCAGGAGGCTGAGGTAGGAGGATCACTTGAACCAGGGAGGCAGAGGTTGCAGTGAGCCGAGATTGTGCCACTGCACTCCAGCCTGGGCGACAAAGTAAGACTCCGTCTCAAAAAAAAAAAAAAAAAAAAAAAAAAAAATCAGTAGAATCACTTTCCTAAAATATAAGTACACAGATACTTTTACAAATATATGATACACAATGGCCTTCAAAGTGGATCTAGACAAATAGAAATTTGTTTTTAATAATGCTTAGAAACTATGTTTCTCTTGCTAATATTCAGTATCACTTTGTTACTTGAAAATTCTACTTTTCACAGAAAACAACCTATTTTTGTAGGACTTAGGTTGTCTTCCTGCTGTTAGGATATAATACCACTAGATAGCAGTGAGGTTGTAAGAACTCATTTCTTGTTGGAATGTATTTTACTCAGACATGGATTATTTCTTCCTTTAATATATATAATATACATAATTTCTGAAATTATATAATAAATCATAAAATGTTTATATTCAAAATATACTTTTAGAAATGAAGACTTAGGTCACATTTATTCTGTTTTCCTTATCATATATCATCAGTTAATACTTAATGAAACCCTACCCCTTCACCAGAGATTTTGAATAGCTTATTTTTTACCTACTCCATATTTTCTATTTTCCAGAATTATCTCTTGAAAAAACTCATACATGCATAATTGAAATTAAAATTTTAGGATATTCCACAAAGTTGAATAGAGGTTTTAACTAAATCCATGACCTCCTAAACACAAATCTTTTTTTTCACTGACATTAAAAAAAGTGTATCTATAGATAAAATTTCTGTTATCCTTCAATTAATAATAAATCACAAACATACATAATTCTGTTAAGTAAAAGACCACATGTCTATTGAGGAATTGTACTAGGCTCACAAGAGTGAGTGTGAGATGATTACTAAGAGACTGTTTGCTATGAACAGTAAAACGCATTTTTTTGGTATAATGTGATATATGATATAAATGAGCTTGATAAGGTTGTTTAAAGATTCACAAAAGAAAGTAGATTTCTGGCCTTTCACTTGATTTACTATGAATTTCTGCAAAACTACTGAGTTTCCTGGTTGTGAAATAAAAATAATGACTCTTTAACAATTTGTCTGACTGTGCAAATGAGTGATAAAACTTGAATAAAAATGTATTATTCAGAGTAGAACTGAAAGGTGTGAGGCTCTAGATGTTAAACATTTATATTCATAAATTATCATAAACACTGAACAATGATATGTGTTCATAAGTAAATAAATAAGTTTTTTAAATTAGGTGTTACATATAACTTATAAAACCAGATGAGATGCCACATAACAGAGTTGTATATTTTCTACACATTTTGCAAGTGCACTTATAAAGATATATGTCTATTATTCATATATTAGACATTAGTATTTATGGAGAGGCATAGGTGGATACATATGTCCATATATTCTTGCTTAGACAAATGGCAATATAATCATTATACATATGTTCCTAAATAAAAATTTTGCATTTATCGTGTATACTAATCAAGGAATAACAAACTAGATCATTTAAGGTTTCATTTACAGAATCAATTCCAAATATCTTTTATTGCTTTGACACTAGTAGCATTTTGACTCCTTTAGTACACCCTACAGCATTCCAGGTTAGGGGAGTTAAAAGGTCCGAGAAAGTTGCCAGGTTCACATAGTAGGGAGATTGAACTGATAGTAGGGAGATTGAACTGATAGTAGGGAGTTTCAACTGATACCTCATTAAGGTTTTTGTGGCTGGTTGCGGTGGCTCCCGCCTGTAATTGATCCCAGCACTTTGGGAGGCCGAGGTGAGTGGATCGCTTGAGGCCAGGAGTTCGAAATCAGCCTGGCCAACATGGCATAACGCCGTCTCTATTAAAAATACAAAAATCATCCGGGCGAGGTGGCACACGCCTATAATCCCACGTACTCGGGAGGCTGAGGCACAAGAATCGCTTGAACACGGGAGGCGGAGGTTGCAGTGAGCCGAGACCGCGACACTGCATTCCAGCCTGGGCGCCAGAGAGAGATTCTGTCTCAAAAAGAAAATATTTTTACATAACAATTTTCACACTCTTCCATTTTCTCTCCACTTTCTCTTTTCCTTCTACTCTCTTTTTTCCTTCTTCCATTGAATTTTCACTACTCTTTCTTCATAAAGTAAGTTGTTGAAAGATTAAATATTTTACTGCAGTTCACTCTGTTTTCTACTTCCATTCTTCTACAAGTAGGCCTCTATGTCAAAAAATAATCAGTTTGAAAATCTCCTTTATTATTCTGTTTTTAAGCATCTCTTTGTCTAAAAGTAAAAACAAAACGTACAATTAGGAATATGTGCTTTGGCTCTTTAAGGCAACTGCTTGCCCCATACTCTGACTTTAGCCCTCAATTGTCTTGGAGATGCACAGTAAAAGGATATATGCCTAGGAGAATAAGGCTTTGATGTACTGTATATCTAAATGTTGTCTGACAAAATTAACACAGAAAACTATGGATATTTTTTCTTAGCGTTTGGAACAAACATGATACATAATAGATTATTTTGCTGTAATTAAAATGATTTTCTATGTCTAAGTTAATGTTCATGTACCTAGTTTTGGTTGTTTCCACTCAGCAGGTGAGGTAGCAATTGCTTTCTTTTGAAAATTTAGACCCTTTCTACTGCTATCATTGACTTTGGAAAAAAGGCAAAACCAAAGGCAAATTAACCCTGTAATAAATATATTCAGTTGATCATTCATGTTAAGATACTTGATGGCTTACATTTAATATTAGGGATATTTATTTTACATTCAAAAGTTATTCATTTTTACTTAAAACATAGAAATGCTGTTTTTTAAAAAAAGGTTTATTGCTGGGCGCCCTGGGCCTGTAATCCCAGTATTTTGGGAGGTGGAGTGGGGCAGAGAGCTTGAGCCCAGGATTTCCAGACCAGCCTGGGCAACATGATGAAACCTCATCTCTACCAAAAATAAAAAAAAATTAGCCAGGTGTGGTGGCATGCGGCTGTAGACCAAGGTACTCTGGAGGCTGAGGTGGGAGGATTACTTGAGCCTGGGAGGTGGAGGCTGCAGTGAACCATGATCATGCCACTGCACTCCAGCCTGGGCAACAGAACAAGACCCTGTCTCAAAAAAAAAAAAAAAAAAGAGTTTATTATCCCATCTAGGCTTCAAGTAAAATGATTTAAATAAGAAGGGCAGTTACTTATTCAACTCAAAAGAATTTAAAAGGAAACATAAAGGATTTTAAACAGCAGTATTCATTTTCTGCCTTTGTTAGTCAACAAAAAAGAGGGTCTTGAGTCATAATGCAGACAAAAGGTAACATCGGCTGCATATTGTGCCTGAATAATGGAGATTTCTTCAACAGAAACTGTTTGAAAAACATTTGCATGGAAGTAGTAGATTGCCTTTGATTATATTCAAGGGGAAGGAAATAGCCAAGCATGATTTTCCAGAATAAGGTAAACTTTTCTTTCATTAGTGAAAGTTATATTTTTGGAGTGATATAAACACTTTAAAACACTTTATACACAAAGTGAATTCATATAGATAAATTACATATTTTAAAACCAGAAATATTTTCACATTAAAGCTGAAATTATACATGATATGAATGCAGTATTAGTTACTAATGATTTGTTTTGCAGAAAGATTCTTCATTGTGTAAATGAATTCATCATAGACTCCAAATATCAAGCTCTCAGAATGTGTTAAAAATGGCATTTGTTATCAGTCCTCCAGGTGTTACATATGACTCCCAGTCACACTTAGATGACAGTATATGTGAAAGATGCTTAGGAGAGGCAAGAGTCTGAAAGGCCAACATATATTAAATAACTTTATTTAAATGAAACAATAAAATCCTGATTGATTTGAAAGCACACTGATGCATTATTAATGCACTTTCTTGAAGAATTGGTCTCGAGAGAAAATGCTTCACTGAAATAATTCAGGAAACTGCCCTTATGGCAAGTGGGGCAGATTCTCTTCCTGTCCTTCATAGCATTCTATATGTTTAAGGAGCAATGCTGACAATCATACACATGCATCTGCATGCACACATTAGAAGAGATGGAGTAACATGTCTATCTAAGTTGTTGTTGGCAATCTGTGTTCCCCCTCAGTGGAAATCTTTCAAATTAAATTTGGGCAATTTTCTTTATGTAGATACTAGAAAAGGATTCTCTCTCAGCTCATATTTGTGTGTCTTTTGTCATTTTTTCTTCACAGTTATGGTTACCTATGCTAGTACAGTATGCTGCACATAATTTAGATCAATTAATTCTGTTGACTAAAATACACCTTTTTGGATCCCCTGTTTCCTGCTTCTCACCACCACACATTGTCTTGTCTGCTGTGCTTTTAACAGCTCTCAAATAAGAAATTTATCTTTGCATATTTAAACATCCTACTCCTCACCCCATATTAAAGTTACATTATTAAGAAGGCCCACACATTCTGATAATTTCCATATATTTATTAATGCCCACCTGCATGAAATAATTTTTCCTGCACATTTAGTTTTGTGCTTTTCCCAGATATTTGGAATAAATCTTTACTTATTGATGTAGTGATTTGTATGGAGAATTGCATATTAGTGGAAAGTCTGACTAAATATCTATATAGAATATATGATGTCGGACTACATGAAATTTCTATTTTTCAGGTCAAAATTGGTTAAATATCAGCAATTTTATCTATTTCAACCAGTAAACAAAGGTCACAGTTCAGATGTACTGAAACAGAGAAAATCATAATTATCGGTGGAACTATCTTCTGAATTTCTCCTCACATCTGCAGATTTGTCCGGACAATTACTTAGTCTTAAGTAAAAATTAGTGTTGGAGAAGTCTTTATGAATAATGCATACTTCTGGAGGAAGTGAGATTTGATCACTTCTCAGCCTTTTGGCTAAGATAAAATGAAAGTCAGTTTATAAAGTTGAGACTTCTGATTTAATGTTAATATGAGTTCCTGAAAAATGAAACACAGTTCTATTAATGCCTCAGTACAAATTACCCAATTATGCAACATAAATTTCAATTAAATGTAGCATCAAGTAAATCTATTTTCCTATTCAATTACTTATTGAATGAATACGCATTTTTCTAATAAGATAGGCATTTGGATCAAATGTTAGCATTTTTTGTTTCTGCAGATTTATTGTGTCTGCAATTTAATATGGATTATAGAAACATACGGAATGAAGCCTCCGTATAATTGTTTATCCCATTATCAGAAATTTTGCAAAATTTGATTCCTGAGAAAAAGGTAAATTAAAACCATTTGCCATCAGTTATCTTTTTCATTTTTTTTTCTAAACTCGGATTTCAAACAGAAGAGCTCTTTTTTGGGTGATGTCCTTAATAATTACAATCTAGATTCTGATTCCAAAACTTTACTAAGTTTTATTTAGGTTAGTGTAAGTGAAAAAAAACATATTTTGTATTGTTTAAAGTCTGTGTAGTAGCTAAGAGCTTAAGCTTTCGACTCATATAAATCTTCTTTCAAATTTTAGTTGTATACCTTAATAGGTCTGTGACCTTGGGCAAGTTATTGAAACTTTTAGAGTCTCAATTCCCTCATATGTAAACGGAAGTCACAATAACAGTGCATGTATCATAAGACTGCTGTATTAAATGCACTTATCACAGTTCTTGGCATGTAATAAGAATTCAATAAATGGTAGCTACTATTATTCTAATAACTGATTACATTCTTTGGAAATTGTATTAAGTTGACCCCAGCTGCTTAGTGAATCACTGTATTTGTCAGCATAGTAATTTGCAGAAACATGGATCTGTATTTCCTTTATATATATTTTTAATAGGATTAGGACTTGCAGGAGTTTGCTAGTGTGTATATGATCTTGGCAGCAGGAATCCAAATAGCCTGAGTAGAAAACTGAATTTTCCCACATTTTTTCAATCACATATGGATAGAGATAATCCCCACTGTTGGCTAAATTGTGGAAGTTTTATGCTTCTTGTATTGGTGGCCTTGCTGGCAACAGTAGTCTACAAATAAAGAATATTGTTTCTTAGTAGCTTAAGCAATGTTAACATTGTGATACATTCTCTCTTTTTACCAAATAAGTCTTTTCAAACTCTTAGCAAAATTAAACATTTTAAAAAATCATCGAGTTAATTAAAAGAATATTGTATCCTTAAAATATGCCATTTTAATGGAAATTTTTTTTTGTCAGTGAGAATATGATTTATTTACAATAATGCCACAAAATATGAAGTGGCAGTTTTATATTTCAAGTGGTTCTGGTCATTTTTAATTAACCGGAGAGGAAGTGAGAAAAAAATAAAGACTGTTTAAAATATAATTAATTAGATTAAAATTTTAACTTTTGTTTATACAGTCTTTAGTAATGTATTTATTGGCTTTTCTGAGGAATCTGGTATTTCTGAGGAAATTCTATTTTTAAATACATGCTACTTTAAATAAATGTTACTTCATCATTTGCAAATGACTATTCAATCAACATGTATAAAAGTTGTGGATTTCTTTGCTTTTATGACAAAAGTGGTATTGTATTTTTAAACTGATCACTTTATTAGGTCAGAGAGGGTATAGTTCAACGTGTAATTATTTATTGTTAAATTGTATATTTACAAACATTTTAGTTTTGAACCATTAGATGTTTATGTAATTTAAGTATGAAAGTTTAAAAATGGTTCATATAATAATAGGCATGTGATAAAATGTCATGATAAAAGACAGCCAAATAAATATTATTTCATCCTATTTAGAAAGAATAATTTTCCAGAGGAACTTTACTCAGTTTTAGAGAGAAATCCAAGAATAGTGTTCTTCTTTCATTTTTCAACATGATATAATCAGAGAATTTGGAAAACTGGTAAATATAACCTATAGTAAAATGGTCAGGAAAAATACTCATTTCCATTTATGATAACTGAAGTGACAAAAAGACTCCTAGAAGTTACATTTTCCCTTTGTGGTATATTAAAGAACAATGAATATACCACACTTTATTCTAAAAAGGACTTTTTTTGTGAATGTAAAGGATAATGATCAGATTTAAGTTTCTTTCTACAACCACTTCTAATTCTATTCACGTGATCTATTTAAAAATTCCTTACTTCAACATATTTAAATGTAGTAGCCATTTTGAAACATTTTAGTCCCGCAAGACACAGAAATATACAAAAAAACATACAAGTTTCAGATCCAGAATTCAGTTTCTCCCTAAAGGGAAATTCATCATCCAATCTTCTGGCGTTCTTTAAACTAGACACTAGACCCTTTTCATCTAGATATTGCATATCTCATATATATTATACATACATACATGTATGTGTATGCATGTATTTTTAAAATCAGTATTTGTAGTAACATATCAAAAAGGAATTTCTAATATTCCAAGGTTCTAATGTTAGAATAGAAACATATTCACAATAGTGTTTATCAGTTTCATGTATTTAGAGTAGTTTCACACTAAAATGAGTGATTAGGCTGGGCACGGTGGCTCATACCTGTAATCTTCGTACTTTGGGAGGCCAAAGCAGGGGGCTTGCTTGAGCTCAGGAGTTCCAGACCAGCCTGGGGAACATAGTGAGACCCTGTCTCTACAAAAAACATTTTTTTTAAAAAAATTAGCTCCTCACAGTGACACGTGCACCTATAATTCCAGCTACAGGGGAAACTGAAGTGGGAGTATGACTTGAGCTGAGGAGTTAGAGGCTTCAGTGAGCCATGGTGGCACCACTGCACTCTATCCTGGGTGGCAGAGTGAGAGCCTGTTGCAAATTAAAATAAGTTATTAGGACAAAAAAGATATAGGGCAAAATAAATAGAATGCTTACCCACCTCAAATAAAAAGAAAATAATATTTGTTAATATGAAGGTGATACTGGATAAGTGAAGTGCCTAGGACTTTTTTCTTAAATAATCTAGTATATTTTATGTGAATAAGGGACTATAAAGTAGGGAGATCAGCAGGACTGTAAAAGTGGGTGTGGGAGAAGAAAGTTTGCTAGTCAAACTTGATTTAAATTGACTGCCTTTGTAATAGCATGTGGCTGAATGTTTTGATCTATTTATAATGAATATTTTAAGGATTTGCTAATTTTTGAAAATTGGCAAGAAATACTCATTTTTTTCCTGCCAAAAATAAAACTTGCTAGAATAAAAAAAAATGAAAGTGAAGGAATGTCTTGTGTGTGCTAAAACACCTCCACTTAAAGAGTTTGATATCCACTAGAAAATGTTGTTTCTTTAAAAAGGGGATAAAGGGCATTTGATGCTTCTCACCTTTCACAGTTGTGACAATTCTCTTAGACATCTTAAATTCTCTAAGTGGAGATTTCTTATATTCTTCACAGTACACCTGTTTAAAAATTGTAGTCCACAGAAATCTGAAACTACAAAAGAAACTTTTCTCAAGATGATAACTCTCAAGGAGTGTAAATTACAGTTACTTCATTTGTGGGAGTTTTCCTATCACTTTTCAATTAATAAGACACCCTGGTTATGGGAATTTTAGTCTCACTGAAAAACTCAATTGTTCTATGCAAATTAAATTTGCGTATGCAAGTTACAATTTGAGTTTAAGCTTAGGCCTACGATGATGGAGGGATAACAGGCAAACTGGAATGTGGTACTTGACCATACTTAGTCAGTGCAGGAAAAACAACAAAAAAATCTTCAGAAACTTTCTTACCATTGACAGGGGCTAGTGTCGATATTCCTTGTGGTTTTCCCTTATTGACTGTATCTACACCATCACATAGCAAAATGTACACAACAGCAGAAAGTAGACATTTTACTCATAGTTTCTGCAAAATCTGAATAAAGATAAAGTTTTTCTACCACAAATAATTCCAAAGATGTGGTCTTATAGATGTATGCATTCTAAGGATCAGGGAAAGGCGGTGAAATAAAACTCTAAGTTGAACAAAATTCAAGTAGTTTATCTTTTAACAGAAATATCTCCATAAACCATATTGATATAAAGGTGAACAGGGGTTGGACACAGTGGCTGAAAGCCCATAATTCCAGTGTTTTGGGAGGCCAAAATGGGAGGATGGCTTGAGAATAGGAGTTGGAGACCAGCCTGGGCAACATAGAAAGACCTCATCTCTACAAAAAAAAAAAAAAAATAGCCAGGTCTGTTCATGTGTGCCTGTAGTCCTAGCTATTTGGGAGGCTGAGGTAGGAGGATTGGTCAAGCCCAGGAGTTGGAGGCTGTAGTGAGCTATGATCGTGCCACTGCACTTCAACCGGGGTGACAAAGCGAAAACCGTGTCTCTAAAAAAATTAAAAATAAATAGAGGTCAACAGGAAGAATCAATAACTAAGGCAGCAACTGGAATTGACAAATTAATATCAATAAGCTTGAATCAACTAATGAGGATGGTTTTGTGTGTGTGTGTCTGTGGGGGGGAGACAGAGAGAGAGAGAGAAATATTGGTGAAGTAGTATTTTAATTCACCCACCAACATTCTATTGGGTGGCCAAATTCATAGAGGTATTTTATTAGAATCAGAAATTTCAGAATTTTAGAATCTATATGTTAGCAAACTGTGTATTCATAGGTTCAAAAGAGGTTCACGACCTCTTGTTCCTCATAAATCATTCTAGGAGGAAAAAAATACTAACATAGCTGTAGCCCCTAAGTCATGAAGTGCATCTGACTGGTTCACAAAATGTTAAATATAAAGGATTACAGCTTTTCAATTAAAAATTTTTTATGATAAACATTAATGGGAAAAAACACTTATTTCAATAAAATTTATGGAATTCATTATTACTTTCAAAGAAATAACACCCTTATCTGTTAGCTCTGTCGATCCAGGGATGAAGGTTCAGCTAGAAAAATAACTTTAACCCATTATTGGACTGGTCTTTATTAAAGGCAGAGATATAACCCTAACTATCTCCCACTCTTCTGATTATGTATTTGTATTAAATACCTGATTATTTATTTAAAATTTATTTACTCAAACTATGGAAACATTATTCAATTCTTCCTTTCTTTGCAAAGAAAGATTTTCTGGTCAAAATAATAAACGTTAATCCACAGAGGCAAAGCAAAAATAACAAAGATCTCTGTAGATAATATTAACTTTTATTCAAATTTCACAGTTGTTAATAAATGTATATTCAAAAGGAATGTGTGGCTGGGTGCAGTGGCTCATGCTTGTAATCCCAGCACTTTGGGAGGCCAAGGCGGGCAAATCATGAGGTCAGGAGTTCGAGACCAGCCTGGCCAACACGGTGAAACCCTGTCTCAACTAAAAATACAAAAATTAGCTGGGCATGGTGACGGGTGCCTGTAATCCAAGCTACTCAGGAGGCTGAGGCAGGACAATTGCTTGAACCCGGGAGACGGAAGTTGCAGTGAGCCGAGATCATGCCACTGCACTCCAGCCTGGGCGACAGAGCTAGACTCTGTCTCAAAAAAAAAAAAAAAAAAAAGAGAGGAATGTGTGATGGATCTGGGCATTGATAAATCTATCACTAAGGTTCTATATTTATGGCATTTGATTAGCTATCCACATCACATTATGAGGCTATCTACTTTCTCAAAGTATTTTGATCTTTGCTTCTAGATTAATAAAAAATGTAATAGTGGCTGAAGTATTTAAGGCACTCCCCTGGGACATGAAAAAAAATAATAAAATTTAGGTTATCTGGCACTGCCCAAATAATTGTATACAGAAAGTAAGAGAAAATTCATGTATGTTTGTGTTTATCTGCACTTACGGTAGTTGTTCTAAACTTTAGTCTTTAAATATAGAAGCCAATATGGAAGGTTAAATAGATGATTAATGCTCATCCTTTATTAGAAGTCTCTTTAAGCATATCTTATTTCCACGTTGATCATATTTATCTTTAGTAAAATTATAATTAACGTATAAGGTTTGTTTAATGGCTACAATTTCAGCTCATTTGTAATTAAAGTTTATCGCAAATAACTTTTATAATTAAGTAACTTATAAAATCTCAGATTAAAGTAAATTATATTACTTAGTCTCAACATTTTCTTATAAAACATATTCTTCTTCTGTCTTTGCCTTATCTGTTCTTGGCACTAACTTCTTCAGTCATTCACACTTCAAAAGCTTTGGACTATTTCCTCTTCCTTATACCCACATTGCAGATTAAACTTTAGACTTTTTTATCTTGCAATCTCTTTCTCTCCCAATCTTTCTTCCTACATCTTCCAGCTATTTATCAAAAACATTTAAAGAGCTACTTCTTTCATGAACCTCTTCTTAATTCCGTTACCTCAAAGTATTCACATTCTTCGGTACTATCATATCACTTTGCTCTGTCCTTTGTCACTTAGCCTATTTAGTATAATAATTATCATCTACAAATCTTGTATTATCTCCCCCACTACATAAACTTAACATGTGCTTTATACACAGAGGGTGCTTAAAAAGTACAGATCAACTGGATGGATGAATGGATGGAAGAGGATGGAATATCTTAACAAAACACATTTTCCTTAAGTAAATTCATGCATACTCCAAATAAAATACAGAATGTGAAGTATCTCTGAACTGTGCTGTTGAATATGGTAGCTACTAGCTACATGTGAGTATTTAAATTTTAATTTATTAAATTAAATTAAGAATTTAATTCCTCAGTCGCACTAGCCACATTTCAAGTGGTTAATAGGCACAAGCGGCTACCATATTGGACCATGCAGATTATTTTAATAAAATATTTTTATCATTGCAGAAAGTTCTATTGGATAGTACTGCTCTAGAAATTTCTGCTGGAGGAATGGATGAGAGAAACACGTCTATGGAATTCGAGGGAGATCATAATAACGAATAATAAGGCATAGGATTACCACTTCCCATATAAAAAGTATGATTCATAGCCATTTATAATACAAGCAATTACCCCTCAAAGTTGAAGATTTATATTAGTATCATTATTATCACTTTTCATTTAATCCATAATTTTTGCAACATCGATAATATAAAACTCAAAATAATTCATGTAGGTAGGAAGATGTCATATTTTCCACATAAATATGCATTAAATGCTTTAACAAATCTGGCTTAATTAGAATAAGAATACAACAGACTAGGCTGGCTTTTCAAAAATTTTAATAGCTTATTCCCTGTTAAAGCTAAGAAATACCTTCCAGTATACCCTACCTCCCAAAGTATCAGGGATTTTTTGTTTTTTAATCCAAGAGAGATTTATGAGATCATAAAACACAATCTTTATGTTCTTTGCTTCCCTTTTCCCAAAATCTAAAATTATTCAGAAATATTTAACCTTTTCTTGATTTGTAGCCGTTACAGCTAATTGGAGGATCCTGCCATAAAATGATGGCCCTCTGTCATGTGTTGCCTACTTGTTTAATTTAGATTTATGGTTTCTTGAAAGCCAATTGAAAGTGTTTGACCCCTCATAGGAAAATCCTGTTGTGAATAAGAAGGATTCCACAGATCACATACCAGAGCGGTTTTGCCTCAGCTGCTCTCAACTTTGTAATCTTGTGAAGAAGCTGACAAGCTTGGGTGAGACAATGTTTTGCTATCCTCCTTAAAGAATTAGAAATTCCCGCATAAGAGAGTATGAATTGATAACAAGAGGCATTATAGCTAAGATCAGGTTCATAACTGACAAAGTTGAAATAGATATGTAGGTAATCAAGCATTTTTAGTGATGTATATTATGTGATTGCCGTTCAAGGCAGGCATAACTATTTTCCTCAGTCAGGAAATAAATACCACTAGCCAATGGGGCTAGGATCACACCTATTCCATATAAATAAAACTTTGAATCTATCCTGTCTACTGTTTGATAAGCCTATGCAGATTATCAATTTTATGTGTTAGGCTTATAAAACTGTTATAATGATCCAAGGAATAATAGCAGCTGGTGGGGAGGGTGTTTTTATTTAAGCTTTCATTAGCAGACAAATAAGGATAGCAGAGAGTTCACTCCAGTTTTAATTCAAAAAGTATTTTGTGCCTACATTTCAGAATCCTGGATGATTTGCTGCTAACAGCACTCTGAGGTCCTGCCATGGAACCTCCTATCTAGTGCAGCATTTGGGTTATTGAAGCCCTATCTTTTCAGTGCATCTATTTCATTTAAGTTTAAACTGATTACAATGTACTGGAGGCAAAGACCTTTTTCTTCCCCTCCCTCTTTTTATCCCCCACTCAACAGCTGATTGCAGTGCACTATGAGGACTGAATGACAGTGGGTTTTAATTCAGATATTTCAAGGTGAGTTTCATATATATTAAATATCATATACGTCTCCTTTCCTCTGGGTCTTTTCAGGAGTAGTAATTTTATCTGAACTCCAATTTTTCATGTTTGAGGCTTTCATTTTCTTAAAAGATTTGTTTTGAGTTTAAAATGTTAACAGTGAGATTGGATGAGAGGAAGGGGAAGTCTATATTCCAATATACTGATATCATGTAGGGAGAGATGTAAAACAACAACAACAAAAATCCCACAAATTATAGTAAGCATAATTTACCTAGATTGGCCTGGATGGCCACACATGTTGTCCGTGGATTGACAATTTCTAAAGAATTGACAGTTTACTGACGGTAAGCAATGAAGTTGTAAAGGCCCCTCTGGATCGTGCAAAGATGTCTTTAGGACCATGAGTTATCAGTGTACTGAAAAATTCCAGAAGTGCCTATTTTCAGAACAAATACTTGTTCTGAATACTACAAGCACCCTAGGTAGAGAGACTGTTCTTCCTCAGTTTTGCATTTCCAATGCGTGGTGTACAGAACATACTTTACAAATAGACACCAAACTAACAAACAAGAGAGTATTCTAATGAATAAATATATAGACTTTATTGCACTTGTAGGAATATGATTTGATTTAATAAACTAATAGGCTATCCCCCCAAATCTCCATTTAGATGAATAAAAAATGTTTAGGATTCTATTTAATTAAACCAAATTTAGAAGTAGTGTTCAGTTTCTTGCTTGGGAGGTTTTGATTTATTCAAAAATCATTTAAGTTTGTCCACTTAGTGATTAGCGTGTACTCCAGTGCACCCCCACAACCTTGTCACAATACTCCAATAATGTAATACGCTTAAAAATAATATATTTAAATTATTTGTCACAAATACTCATTCTCAGTTTCTCTTGTCCATGTGGCAGAAGATACTGAAATATGTTCCCCTTGACATTGCTCAAAGAAGAAATCTCTTAAAAGTTCTAATCACTGTTAAATTTCTCAGACATTTTAAGCTTTAGAGAAGAAAGGATTTAAACAACTTTTTACATGATTCTTTTTCTTGTTCCCTTCTATTCCCTCCATTACTCCTCTGTCACTTCCATCATTCTCTCCAAGTATATAAATCCACTCTTTATGGTGCCTGGGACCTCCCAGATCCAGTAAATCTTCCCATCCCCTCCCTGTACCTTTCATTCCTTCAAGTTTTCCGTTCATTGAAGTCACTCTCAGTTCTGTTAGTTTTCCCAGATTTCTCCCTGTTCTCTTTGTGTGTCTATAATTCTTCCAAGTCTCTACCCAGTTTTTAAGTTCTCCATCTTTGTTGTCACCATAGTTTTCCCCAGTTAAGTTTTCATAACAGCTTGTTGCTCAGACTCTATGAGTACTTCTTATTTTGTTAGTTCGTCTCAATGCTCAAAATCATTCCTTCCCTCTCAATCATCCCTTTTCTCTCTTTAACACCTTCATCCTTTCCATGTTTTCTCTGCAGTCTTTTCCATATCCTCTGCCCCTACCAGTTTCCCCTTGTGCCTCACAGTTCTTCCCAAATTATTCAAGTCCCTTGCAGGTAGTTGGAATATAATTCATCACATTATTTCCATATTTAGGAACAGCTTAAATTTACAAACTGCCATGAATAAAACAGTCTGTAGCTTAATCATTGACAGTTTAATATAATCTTATTCTTTATTGTGGCATTATATATACACCACATTTTATAGACCTGTTATTTGTACCAGGTTTGGTTTTAAGATAACTTGAGATAGTAGAGGGGAGATACAAAAAATTAACATTCAGGTAGTAAAGCCAAATTAGGCCAAGGTGAAAATTTCTTATTCAACAAGACATTCAGCCCATTCAGTTCAAAACAATATTCTGTGTACTTTTTAAGGAGTGGAAGAAAAATAGACGAGTAATGGAATATGCTAGTTGAATATTGATGAGATTTGTTTCCATTTTAAAGTTAAAAAAAACCAAAACTGATTGCTCTAAGACTTTTTCTTGCTGACTGCCATCACCTCAGTTGTCATATTTTAACCACAAATCCCGTAAGCACTTACATTTAACCTTATCGTTACTCTTATGCTTATTCAAATTTTCCCCATGTGATGCTAATCTGAAAATTTCTTAGAGGAAATGAGTTTTGAATTGCTCTGAAGTAGATGATGACCTTTGATGACCAGAGAAGATGTGGAAAATATTATGGCTAGAGAGTAGATGTTGGCTCGGCTGAAGAGGAGAGGTCATGGATTATAAATTAAAGAGAAAGATATTTCTTAGAAGCAGCTAATTGAGGACCTTGAATGCTAGGCCTCGGAGTTTAGATTCTATAGATTTCGAGAGGTAATAAACATAGTTTTTTTGCTTTCAGTTTTTGTTGTTGTTGTTATCGGTTTGGTTTGGTTGTTATATATAATGTTTATCAAAATAATGAATACTTATTTTTCAACACCATAAAAACGTGGAAGTAGACCACAAAAAAAGTACTGGTTGGATAGATAATATATTTGGAAATGCTTTGTTTTAAAAAAAAAACCTTTTCTTCTGAATAAAAATAGAGAGGAGAAGCAGTTCTTACGTGAAATCTCTCTTTAACAGTTCCTCTTGAAAATTAGCAGCTGTACTTAGTGAAAAATTATGAAGGTGCAATGTTGTTGTCAGCTGTAACAGGTTTTAATTATCTTTTTTATTTTAAAGTCATCAAATTTAGAGATGTCAAATTTTTATTATTTTCAGGACAAAATCATGATGCCATAGTTCACATATTTTAGTTGCAAATACTGTTTCAAAATGCACTTGATTTTGTGAGGTGTTTGCTTTAATATTTTCAACACGTGCTGGATTACAGAGTTTCAAGATATATTGCACGTATCCAATTAAAATAACTCCCCACTTTCCCTAATTTATACTTGTTCTTTAAAAATTTAAATATTAATTAAGATCTTCTAATAAGTTAACATGTTCCCTGTTTTATCAAAAACATTCATTGTTCAGTTTAAGCATTTGAAAACCAATCATAATAATATCTATAGATAAATGTCACTGGGATGTGTCTTTCTCAAAAATGTTATGAAGGGTTATAAAATTTTGAAAAAAAAATTTTATTACCAAAATATTACCAAACATACCTTGAAAGTTGAATATAATCATTCCTCTTTTAAAATAAGCTTTTTAATCTAAATTACATGAAAAAAAATTTGTTGCCAAGCTGGGAACAATTATAAAATCACTAACTACCTAAAACAGAGCACACAGTCTTTAAACCTTATAAACATAATTTTAAATCTGAAGATTATATGAAATATTCATTTGATGAAAAGACATTTTGACTTCGCATGTGGAATTGTGATGTAAGATCTTTTAAAGCTGTAGCATTGCTCATAATTGAGATCCATTATGCAAATGATTATGTATTTATGATTAAACCTTCTTTCAATCACAGATGGCTAGAACAAGAAAAGATCTTAGAGATAAATCCCAACGCTACTCACCCTCAGTGAGTAAAATGAGGCACAGAATGACTAAATGACTTGTCCAAAGTCACAGATACCTAAAGGCATAGTTAATACTAGAATTCAAGTCCAGTTAGTTTTTCCCACAGGATTAGACTTGTCTTTGTGAGTGCAGGATATACAAATACCTTTGTTTATTATTTTTTTTAGTTTATAATAACAATATCAACAATTACAAACACATGTAACATTAATGTTCCAGGAACTGTTCTAAGTATTTTACATATATTAACTCATTTAGTGCACAATAACACTATAAGGTAGACACAATTGTTAACCCTGTTTTACACAAAGATACAGAGAATTTAAATAACTTGCATAAAGTCACACAGCTAGTGAGTGGTGGATCTTGGATTTATTATAAAACAAGACCGTCTAGCTCCATAGCTCATGCTAGGACTTCTTTAAAAAATTTAAATTTTTTAATGCCAGGATAGTTTATATTTGGATATAATAACATTTTATGACTTTACTTTTTCAGTAGGGTATAAAAACATTTTTTAGTATTGGAAATTAATGACTGTCTCAATTTCCATAACATATACATTTTGCAATAGCTTTAAATGAATTGTCTTGCTACAATGGATGTGAAGCCCTGAATGAATGGTTTATCTGAAATCATCAATATTGTTCATTAAGACAATTGCAAAAAAATGATCTCTATGGAGTCTTTCGTTCATTCTATGTATGAAAAAATTTTTCATTTATTTTTAAAACTAGAAAATCAAACCAAAAGTATATTTAAATAATGTCTCTATGAAATGTCTTCTGTGAGAATGGTAAAATGAGCTATCAACTAATTATTTTTTCATATACTTGGTAATGACTATGTGAACAAAATTGATTTTGCATTTTCTCATTAATGTGGCACACAACACAGAAATAAAAGTCCTATTTTTTTCTAGCTTGTTTTAGTCTGTGGGCTTAATTGCTAGTTTGAAAGTAATATTAGGTAATATCTTACTCTGTAAGAAAGCATATTTTGACATGTTGACGTGTTAATATATTGACACATGGGAAAGGAATAAGTAAATGTAAATGAAAACTAATTAAGCAACATTATATAGTGGATATGGGAAAGGTAAAAAAGTATCCCAGCACTTTGGGAGGCCAAGGTGGGTGGATCACCTGAGGTCAGGAGTTTGAGACCAGCCTGGCCAACATGGTGAAGCCCCGTCTCTACCAAAAATACAAAAATTAGCTGGGCGTGATGGTGGGTGCCTGTAATCCCAGCTACTTGGTAGGCTGAGGCAGGAGAATCACTTGAACCCGGGAGGCGGAGGTTGCAGTGAGCCAAGATTTCACCACTGCACTCCAGCCTGGGTAATAGAGCGAGACTCAGTCCCCACCCCCCACCAAAAAAAAATCTCCAATACGCAAAATGCCTATATAAGTTTGTTTTATGTATAATTATGTAATAAATTCTGAAAATTATCATAAAATTAAAATATTAGAATATGAGATCTTCCATACATTGCCCCAATTTGTTTATTCCGTTCAAATAGAATGGAAAGACAAATTAAAATGGAGAAGGGCTGACTCGTAAGAAATAGCAATGAATTCCTTTTCTTTTCATTTTTTAGGGAAGAAAGGGATTGGGAACAAGACTATATGTTGTATAGGGAACATTGAAGGATTCTATTTCCATTTCAGTGCTTAATGGCTTTTACTAGTTATTTAACTTTTTTCTCTACGTTTTTAAAACTCTCAAGAGTCTGTGGCTTCATTAAATATTATTTCTTTATAAAACATATATGATAATACGAAAAGTGTTAAATCGGTGGTATTCATTAAGACTGTATCCAGCACTGTGGAGAACTTGGAGGTCAAGGGAAAGTCTGCACAAAAGTAGAAATATGAGGAAATTTGTGTGTGTTAGCCAATGTATATTAGTGCTCTGAGCATATATTTAAGGAAGGATGAGGCAATGTGGACTGAGGGACATTGGAGATGGATTAAGAGTGAAAGGGTAATTAGCTATGTTAGAAAACAGTGGCTTGCATTGCATGATTCTGTATCACAGGTACTTATTTATAGTGTGCATGCATTTCTGATATTGCATAAAGCAAGACAGTGATGAAGTTACATAGTTGTCTATTAGGATATTTGCCCTATACCCTTCAGTTTTCTGTTTGAGGTTTTTGAAGGATTCATGATTTCTATCATGCATCATATTCTTCATACTATCTGTATAAGGATTATGATGGTGATAAATGAGAAGAACATGGTGAGTATTCCAAACTCCTATCGACCCTACCCAATATACTAAAGATTATCAAGTGGAGAGTTATTTTGGTGTATTACCACTTCATAATTTTTATGTCTCAGATACAGTAAATTTATTTATATAGATATCACATAGGTTTTATTGGGATCATATAATGTTTTATGAAATAATTCTATTTTAAGATGCTATTTACTCATAACTATAAAACTGTGCATTTTTGTTCTCTCAGAGGATCTGGAACAGTGTGATTTCTAACTTAAAATGAGGGGAGATTTGATTGTTTCTTCTTGAGTTAACAAGTTACCAATATCTTAAAAATATTCACTGCCTAATAGTTTCAAAATTTAGAATCATAAAATACTACTCATTCCTAAATGATTCAAGAATACATTTTACTGTACTATTTAATTTTATACCTTTTTTGTCCCCTGCCTATGAATTGGATATTCTAGCCATCATTTCACTGTCCTGGGTGCAGGCATAGTTGAAGGTTACTGACCTTCTGATCTAGATTAGTACCGTCCAACAGAACTTTCTGTCATAATAGAAATATTCTATAATCTGTGCTGTCCAGTGCTTAAGTCCTTAGCCTTATTGGACAATTGAACACTTAAAATGTGCTTAGTACAACTAAGGGATTGAATTTTTAATCTGACTTAAATTTAATTTTAACAGCTACACACAGCAAGAGGTACTATATTGGACTGCACAGCTCTAGATGCTTATAGTCTAAATATAACTATTGTATGGAAAAGAGAGTTCTTTTTTCAAGGCATAATCAATCACCTTTGTTTCTAATTTTGTTCTTGTGCTATCTATAAATCAAGTCCTGATGCAAAGTAATTTCATCATGAAGAGCAATGGTCTTTATTTTCCAGGGTTGTCAGGTTATATAAAGAATTAATGTACCCTGTGATCACAATTTCCTAGAGTGAGTGCCAGTTTTAGCAAGTGTAAAATAGTTGTGTTTGTTGTAGCTTCTTCTATGATATCTATTAAGGAGTTGGATATCTCTGAAAAGGAAATATAAAATATTTCAGCATTTCTAATATTTTCTGGAATAGGAAAATATTTTACATTTATCAGCTATAAAGAAATTATAATTTAAAATGAAATACTGGCCATTTTCACATATTTTGTACTCTGTGACAAACTGAAATCATTACAGAGTATGTTATAATTCTAAAAACCAAAAAGTCTCCCAAGTAATTGGAGCCTCTAGTACCTAATCAAAAGAATGGTGCCTTTATTTTCTTTTTTCGTAATCTCTTTTTCTAAACCAATGTGAGATCAAATTACGTTTTTTATAAGCAGTGCAATAGCTAAATAAAAATAACAATAACCGCAAATGCATGAAGAATTTTTTTTTTATCTGAATGTATTACTCACTTAAAACTGCATTGGTGGACTGGGCACGATGGCTCACGCCTGTAATCCCAGCACTTTGGGAGGCTGAGGCCAGTGGATCATGAGGTCAGGAGATCAAAACCATCCTGGCTAACATGGTGAAACCCCATCTCTACTAAAAAAAAATACAAAAAATTAGCCGGGCATGGTGGCACACGCCTGTAGTCCCAGATACTCGGGAGGCTGAGGCAGGAGAATCTCTTGAACCTGGGAGGTTGCAGTGAGCCAAAATCGCACCACTGCACTCCAGCCTGCGCGACAGAGTGAGACTCCATCTCAAAAAAAAAAAAAAAAAGTATTGGCATGGAACACAATGAAACTTCTATTTTGGGGCTGCCTTAATGTGAGATTAACCCTGATCACACCACTTGCATTTCAACTATTGTTTAGTATGATGGCATTTCAATTGGCAGTTTTCCTTACAGTGATCTGTCTACACATGCACGCACATAAATGCACACAAGGGCATATGTTCACAGTGAAACACAAAGATTATTATTTTAAACATATAAATAAAGCATCTCATGAATATTTCTCAGTTACAAGTTGGCTAGTGTTTGTTGGTCCAGCAAGCAATACTGCATCCAACTCTGTAGAGGCAGAACTTGTATATTCTTGATTTCCCATTTGATGGTTACTTAGAATTGTTTTGAGGTTAATGCACTTCTTGATTTATAAATAAAACGGGGGTTGCATTTCATTCTTCTTCCAATATACTATTATATTACCCCTTTGAAGGCTTGTTCTTTACTTGTGGTGAGAAGGCATGGAATATGCTGAATGAAGGCTAATGATAAATCATTTTTCATTTCTTAATGAGTTGGAGTGGGGTTTGTGGTTGTCCTAAGTGAGAAACAGAAAAAAAAATTTAAAGAAGAGGAATCTAAAAATATTGTGAAAACATGTAGGATTAGTTAAATTAATTTAAATATTTTACTTACTAATAGTTTGAAAAACTGATTTCCTAAGAACCACTTAGTATAATTTGTAGTGAAAATAACTACAGGTGAAGGTCATGCATAAAATATACTCTTACCAGAAAACTTTAGGTTTTTGAATAAAATGGAATTCATAAAATAATGAACACTCCAAGTTATTATAAATCACTCCGATTATTTCTTGAAGTCTTTGCTGGTTGTTGTAGTGATATATTCTTGGAGGAAAAGGTTTAAAACAAAAGAATTGGTGACCCGAATCTCCAGCAAGCATCTTTTTTTTTTTTCCTTTCTTTTTTTCATTTTTATTTTTATTTTTATTTTTTATTATTATACTTTAAGTTTTAGGGTACATGTGCACATTGTGCAGGTTAGTTACATACGTATACATGTGCCATGCTGGTGCGCTGCACCCACTAACTCGTCATCTACCATTAGGTATATCTCCCAATGCTATCCCTCACCCCTCCCCCCACCCCACAACAGTCCCCAGAGTGTGATGTTCCCCTTCCTGTGTCCATGTGATCTCATTGTTCAGTTCCCACCTATGAGTGAGAATATGTGGTGTTTGGTTTTTTGTTCTTGCGATAGTTTACTGAGAATGATGATTTCCAATTTCATCCATGTCCCTACAAAGGACATGAACTCATCATATTTTATGGCTGCATAGTATTCCATGGTGTATATGTGCCACATTTTCTTAATCCAGTCTATCATTGTTGGACATTTGGGTTGGTTCCAAGTCTTTGCTATTGTGAGTAATGCCGCAATAAACATACGTGTGCATGTGTCTTTATAGCAGGATGATTTACAGTCCTTTGGGTATATACCCAGTAATGGGATGGCTGGGACAAATGGTATTTCTAGTTCTAGATCCCTGAGGAATGGCCACACTGACTTCCACAATGGTTGAACTAGTTTACAGTCCCACCAACAGTGTAAAAGTGTTCCTATTTCTCCACATCCTCTCCAGCACCTGTTGTTTCCTGACTTTTTAATGATTGCCATTCTAACTGGTATGAGATAGTATCTCATTGTGGTTTTGATTTGCATTTCTCTGATGGCCAGTGATGATGAGCATTTTTTCATGTGTTTTTTGGCTGCATAAATGTCTTCTTTTGAGAAGTGTCTGTTCATGTCCTTTGCCCACTTTTTGATGGGGTTGTTTGTTTTCTTCTTGTAAATTTGTTTGAGTTCATCGTAGATTCTGGATATTAGCCCTTTGTCAGATGAGTAGGTTGCGAAAATTTTCTCCCATTTTGTAGGTTGCCTGTTCACTCTGATGGTAGTCTCTTTTGCTGTGCAGAAGCACTTTAGTTTAATTAGATCCCATTTGTCAATTTTGTCTTTTGTTGCCATTGCTTTTGGTGTTTTAGACATGAAGTCCTTGCCCATGCCTATGTCCTGAATGGTATTGCCTAGGTTTTCTTCTAGGGTTTTTATGGTTTTAGGTCTAACGTTTAAGTCTTTAATCCATCTTGAATTGATTTTTGTATAAGGTGTAAGGAAGGGATCCAGTTTCAGCTTTCTACATATGGCTAGCCAGTTTTCCCAGCACCATTTATTAGATAGGGAATCCTTTCCCCATTGCTTGTTTTTCTCAGGTTTGTCAAAGATCAGATAGTTGTAGATATGCGGCGTTATTTCTGAGGGCTCTGTTCTGTTCCATTGATCTATATCTCTGTTTTGGTACCAGTACCATGCTGTTTTGGTTACTGTAGCCTTGTAGTATAGTCTGAATTCAGGTAGTGTGATGCCTCCAGCTTTGTTCTTTTGGCTTAGGATTGACTTGGCGATGCGGGCTCTTTTTTGGTTCCATATGAACTTTAAAGTAGTTTTTTCCAATTCTGTGAAGAAAGTCATTGGTAGCTTGATGGGGATGGCATTGAATCTGTAAATTACCTTGGGCAGTATGGCCATTTTCACGATATTGATTCTTCCTACCCATGAGCATGGAATGTTCTTCCATTTGTTTGTATCCTCTTTTATTTCCTTGAGCAGTGGTTTGTAGTTCTCCTTGAAGAGGTCCTTCACATCCCTTGTAAGTTGGATTCCTAGGTATTTTATTCTCTGTGAAGCAATTGTGAATGGGAGTTCACTCATGATTTGGCTCTCTGTTTGTCTGTTGTTGGTGTATAAGAATGCTTGTGATTTTTGTACATTGATTTCGTATCCTGAGACTTTGCTGAAGTTGTTTATCAGCTGAAGGAGATTTTGGGCTGAGACAATGGGGTTTTCTAGATATACAATCATGTCATCTGCAAACAGGGACAATTTGACTTCCTCTTTTCCTAATTGAATACCCTTTATTTCCTTCTCCTGCCTAATTGCCCTGGCCAGAACTTCCAACACTATGTTGAATAGGAGTGGTGAGAGAGGGCATCCATGTCTTGTGCCCGTTTTCAAAGGGAATGCTTCCAGTTTTTGCCCATTCAGTATGATATTGGCTATGGGTTTGTCATAGATAGCTCTTATTATTTTGAGATACGTCCCATTAATAACTAATTTATTGAGAGTTTTTAGCATGAAGGGTTGTTGAATTTTGTCAAAGGCCTTTTCTGCATCTATTGAGATAATCATGTGGTTTTTGTCTTTGGATCTGTTTATATGCTGGATTACATTTATTGATTTGCGTATATTGAACCAGCCTTGCATCCTAGGGATGAAGCCCACTTGATCATGGTGGATAAGCTTTTTGATGTGCTGCTGGATTTGTTTTGCCAGTATTTTATTGAGGATTTTTGCGTCAATGTTCATCAAGGATATTGGTCTAAAATTCTCTTTTTTGGTTGTGTCTCTGCCCGGCTTTGGTATCAGGATGATGCTGGCCTCATAAAATGAGTTAGGGAGGATTCCCTCTTTTTCTATTGATTGGAATAGTTTCAGAAGGAATGGTATCAGTTCCTCCTTGTACCTCTGGTAGAATTCGGCTGTGAATCCATCTGGTCCTGGACTCTTTTTGGTTGGTAAGCTATTGATTATTGCCACAATTTCAGATCCTGTTATTGGTCTATTCAGAGATTCAACTTCTTCCGGTTTAGTCTTGGGAGAGTGTACGTGTCAAGGAATTTATCCATTTCTTCTAGATTTTCTAGTTTATTTGCACAGAGGTGTTTATAGTATTCTCTGATGGTAGTTTGTATTTCTGTGGGATCAGTGGTGATATCCCCTTTATCATTTTTTATTGTGTGTATTTGATTCTTCTCTCTTTTTTTCTTTATTAGTCTTGCTAGCAGTCTATCAATTTTGTTGATCCTTTCAAAAAACCAGCTCCTGGATTCATTAATTTTTTGAAGGGTTTTTTGTGTCTCTATTTCCTTCAGTTCTGCTCTGATTTTAGTTATTTCTTGCCTTCTGCTAGCTTTTGAATGTGTTTGCTCTTGCTTTTCTAGTTCTTTTAATTGTGATGTTAGGGTGTCAATTTTTGATCTTTCCTGCTTTCTCTTGTGGGCATTTAGTGCTATAAATTTCCCTCTACACACTGCTTTGAATGCGTCCCAGAGATTCTGGTACGTTGTGTCTTTGTTCTCGTTAGTTTCAAAGAACATCTTTATTTCTGCCTTCATTTCGTTATGTACCCAGTAGTCATTCAGGAGCAGGTTGTTCAGTTTCCATGTAGTTGAGCGGTTTTGAGTGAGTTTCTTAATCCTGAGTTCCAGTTTGATTGCACTGTGGTCTCAGAGATAGTTTGTTATAATTTGTGTTCTTTTACATTTGCTGAGGAGAGCTTTACTTCCAAGTATGTGGTCAATTTTGGAATAGGTGTGGTGTGGTGCTGAAAAAAATGTATATTCTATTGATTTGGGGTGGAGAGTTCTGTAGATGTCTATTAGGTCCGCTTGGTGCAGAGCTGAGTTCAATTCCTTGGTATCCTTGTTGACTTTCTGTCTAGTTGATCTGTCTAATGTTGACAGTGGGGTGTTAAAGTCTCCCATTATTAATGTGTGGGAGTCTAAGTCTCTTTGTAGGCCACTCAGGACTTGCTTTATGAATCTGGGTGCTCCTGTATTGGGTGCATATATATTTAAGATAGTTAGCTCTTCTTGTTGAATTGATCCCTTTACCATTATGTAATGGCCTTCTTTGTCTCTTTTGATCTTTGTTGGTTTAAAGTCTGTTTTATCAGAGACTAGGATTGCAATCCCTGCCTTTTTTTGTTTTCCATTGGCTTGGTAGATTTTCCTCTATCCTTTTATTTTGAGCCTATGTGTGTCTCTGCACCTGAGATGGGCTTCCTGAATACAGCACACTGATAGGTCTTGACTCTTTATCCAATTTGCCAGTCTGTGTCTTTTAATTGGAGCATTTAGTCCATTTACATTTAAAGTTAATAGTATTATGTGTGAATTTGATCCTGTCATTATGATGTTAGCTGGTTATTTTGCTTGTTAGTTGATGCAGTTTCTTTCTAGTCTCGATAGTCTTTACATTTTGGCATGATTTTGCAGTGGCTGGTACCGGTTGTTCCTTTCCATGTTTAGTGCTTCCTTCAGCAGCTCTTTTAGGGCAGGCCTGGTGGTGACAAAATCTCTCAGCATTTGCTTGTCTGTAAAGTATTTTATTTCTCCTTCACTTATGAAGCTTAGTTTGGCTGGATATGAAATTCTGGGTTGAAAATTCTTTCCTTTAAGAATGTTGAATATTGGCCCCCACTCTCTTCTGGCTTGTAGGGTTTCTGCCGCGAGATCTGCTGTTAGTCTGATGGGCTTCCCTATGAGGGTAACCCGACCTTTCTCTCTGGCTGCCCTTAACATTTTTTCCTTCATTTCAACTTTGATGAATCTGACAATTCTGTGTCTTGGAGTTGCTCTTCTCGAGGGGTATCTTTGTGGCGTTCTCTGTATTTCCTGAATTTGAATGTTGGCCTACCTTGCTATATTGGGGAAGTTCTCCTGGATAATATCCTGCAGAGTGTTTTCCAACTTGGTTCCATTCTCCCCATCACTTTCAGGTACATCAATCAGACGTAGATTTGGTCTTTTCACATAGTCCCATATTTCTTGGAGGCTTTGCTCGTTTCTTTTTATTCTTTTTTCTCTAAACTTCCCTTCTCACTTCATTTCATTCATTTCATCTTCCATCGCTGATACCCTTTCTTCCAGTTGATCGCATCAGCTCCTGAGGCTTCTGCGTTCTTCACGTAGTTCTCGAGCCTTGGTTTTCAGCTCCGTCAGCTCCTTTAAGCACTTCTCTGTATTGGTTATTCTAGTTATACATTCTTCTGAATTTTTTTCAAAGTTTTCAACTTCTTTGCCTTTGGTTTGAATGTCCTCCCGTAGCTCAGAGTAATTTGATCGTCTGAAGCCTTCTTCTCTCAGCTCGTCAAAGTCATTCTCTGTCCAGCTTTGTTCCGTTGCTGGTGAAGAGCTGTGTTCTTTTGGAGGAGGAGAGGTGCTCTGCTTTTTAGAATTTCCAGTTTTTCTGTTCTGTTTTTTCCCCATCTTTGTGGTTTTATCTACTTTTGGTCTTTGATGATGGTGATGTACAGATGGGTTTTTGGTGTGGATGTCCTTTCTGTTTGTTAGTTTTCCTCCTAACAGACAGGACCCTCAGCTGCAGATCTGTTGGAGTACCCTGCAGTGTGAGGTGTCAGTGTGCCCCTGCTGGGGGGTGCCTCCCAGTTAGGCTGCTCGGGGGTCAGGGGTCAGGGACCCACTTGAGGAGGCAGTCTGCGTGTTCTCAGATCTCCAGCTGCATACTGGGAGAACCACTGCTCTCTTCAAAGCTGTCAGACAGGGACATTGAAGTCTGCGGAGGTTACTGCTTTCTTTTTGTTTGTCTGTGCCCTGCCCCCAGAGGTGGAGCCTACAGAGGCAGGCAGGCCTCCTTGAGCTGTGGTGGGCTCCACCCAGTTGGAGCTTCCGGGCTGCTTTGTTTACCTAAGGAAGCCTGGGCAATGGCGGGCGCCCCTCCCCCAGCCTCGCTGCCGCCTTGCAGTTTGATCTCAGACTGCTGTGCTAGCAATCAGCGAGACTCCGTGGGCGTAGGACCCTCCGAGCCAGGTGTGGGATATAATCTCGTGGTGCGCCGTTTTTTAAGCCCGTCGGAAAAGCGCAGTATTCAGGTGGGATTGACCCGATTTTCCAGGTGCCATCCGTCACCCCTTTCTTTGATTAGGAAAGGGAACTCCCTGACCCCTTGCGCTTTCCGAGTGAGGCAGTGCCTCGCCCTGCTTCGCCTCGCGCACGGTGCGCGCACCCATTGACCTGCGCCCACTGTGTGGCACTCCCTAGTGAGATGAACCCAGTACCTCAGATGGAAATGCAGAAATCATCTGTCTTCTGCGTCGCTCACGCTGGGAGCTGTAGACCGGAGCTGTTCCTATTCGGCCATCTTGGCTCCTCCCTCCAGCAAGCATTTCTTAAGCACTTACTGTGTATTTGGTACAGTGCCCATGAACTGCTAAGTTAAATATAATGTCTTAAAATTGTTGGTATATATTTGGAATGATTCATTTGCTTTGAGTTGAGATTCATAATATAAAATATTATGGATCTATACAGTTGTTTACATTTAAAACTGATATTTATAGAGAATAAATTTTATATCTAAATTGTTATTTTTGAAGAGCTCAATCTTTGTGTATTACGTAGGGAGTTGTCTTGAGAAACGTCTAATTTTTACCGCTCATCTTTTTGCACTTTCAAATATACTAATACTTTTGAAGCAGGACCCAACAGGCCTTCTCTAAAATTAAATTTTCTCACATGTAGCAAGGTTATTTTGAATGCCCAAATTGAAGTTTAAATGGTTAATATTACATTTATATTTGGAGTTAAAATGTATTAAGACACAGTTGAAATAGTAACTCATTGTAAGTATAAAGAATATTGCTAAATAGAGAAAACATTTTCTTATGTATTTACCTAGATGAAAGAGAAAGGAAAAATTATACAAACACTAACATTTATACCTTATCTTTGTATGAACATCTTGTAAATACATTTGAATTTTCTCTTATAGATGCTATTCCTTCCTGAAAACCAGGCTGAACCCAGTACATGCTTTTATAGTGAAACTAAAGAACACACAAGAAGTAGGGTTTATTTTAACTTATAAATGCAAATTCCATTTTACTTATTTTTTAATGGGAAAAATATTTACTTTATTTCTTTAACTTTTATTTTAGGTTCAGGTATGCATGTGCGGGTTTGTTATATAGGTAAACTCATGCCACAGGAGTTTGCTATACAAATTATTTCATCACCCAGGTACTAAGACTAGTATGCAATTTTTTTTTTCTGCTCTTCTCCCTCCTCCCACGCTCCATGCTCAATTAGTCCCTAGAGTCTGTTGTTCCTTTTTTTGTGTCTATCAGTTCTCATCATTTACATCCCACTTAAAAATGAGAACATTCAATATTTGGTTTTCTGTTCCTGCATTAGTTTGCTGAGGATAATGGCCTCCAGTTCCATCCATGGTCTTGCAAAGGACATGATCTCCTTAGTTTTTATTGCTGCATAGTATTCCATGATGTATATGTACCACATTTTCTTTATTCAGTCTGTTATTGATGGACATTTAGGTTGATTCTATGTATTTACTATTGTGAATAGTGCTGCAGTGAACATTTGTGTGCATGTGTCTTTATGGTAAAATGATTTATGTTCCTCTGGGTAGTTACCCAGTAATGGGATTACTGGTCAAATGGTAGTTCTAGTTTTACCTCTTTGAGGAATCACTATGCTGCTTCCCACTATAGTTGAACTAATTTACACTCCCACCAACATTGTAAAAGTATTCTCTTTTCTCTGCAACCTCGCCAGCATATGTTATTTTTGACTTGTTAATAGTAGCCATTCTGACTAGTGTGAGATGATATCTCATTGAGATTTTGATTTGCATTTCTCTAATGATCAGTGATATTGAGCTTTTTTTCATATGCTTGCTGGCCACATGTTACTGTCTTCTTTTGAAAAGTGTCTCCTCATGTCCTTTGCCTACTTGTTCATGGGGTTGTTTTTTTCTTGTAAACTTAAGTTCCTTATAAATGCTGGATATTAGACCTTTGTCAGATGCATAGTTAGCAAATATTTTCTCCCATTCTGTAGACCGTCTGTTTACTCTATTGATGGTTTCTTTTGCTCTGCAGAAGCTCTTAAATTTAATTAGATCCCATTTGTCAATTTTGCTTTTGTTGTGATTGTTTTTGGCATGTTCATCATGAAATCTTTGCCACTTCCTTTGTCCAGGATGGAATTCCCTAGGTTGTCTTCCAAGGTTTTATAGTTTTGGGTTTTATGGATATTTAATTCATTTTGAGTTGACTTTTGTACATGGTGTAAGAAAGGGGTCCAGTTTCAATTGTCTGCACATGGCTACCCAGATGTCCCAGCCCGATTTGTTGTGTAAGGAGTCTTTTCCCTACTGCTTGTTTTCTTCAGCTTTGTGGATGATCACGTGGTTATAGGTGTGTGGCCTTTTATCTGGGCTCTCTATTCTGTTCTATTCGTCTATGTGTCTGTTTCTGCACCAGTACCGTTACTGTAGCCCTGTAGTATAGTTTGAAGTCAGGTAATGTGATGCCTCATGTTTCGTTCTTTTTGCTTAGGATTGCCTTGACTATTTGGGGTCTTTTTTTGTTCCATATGAATTTTAACATAGTTTTTTTCTACTTCTGTGAAGAGTGTCATTGGTAGTTTCATATGAATAACAATCTGTAAATTGTTTTGGGTGGTATCCCATTTTAATGATATTTATTCTTTCTATCCATGAAATAGTGTTTGATTATACTTATTAATGCAAATTCCATTTTAAAAGGCAGAATTCTTTTTTTTTTTTTTTTCTGAGATGGAGTCTCGCTCTGTCACCCAGGCTGGATTGCAGTTGAGCGATCTCAGCTCACTGCAAGCTCCGCCTCCCGGGTTCACGCCATTCTCCTGCCTCAGCCTCCCGCATAGCTGGGACTACAGGCGCCCGCCACCACGCCTGGCTAATTTTTTGTATTTTTTAGTAGAGACGGGGTTTCACCATGTTAGCCAGAATGGTCTCCATCTCCTGACCTCGTGATCCGCCCGCTTCGGCCAAAAGGCAGAATTCTTTATCATTTTTTCTACTCTAAGTGTATCACAACTGAAGATTCGAAATATGGCTTGTGTGTGTCACATTTATGGTTCAGTTGTTTTTCTATTCATTTATTAATTAATGTTGTCATTTTTAATTGGTTATCCATTTTTTTGGTTTTGAGGTGACACAAAACAAAAATCACAGAAATAATATTAAAATATGTGTAAAAAACTGAGAACTAAAAGGATAAGGAATATTGTTGAACCTTTAGGCTGAGGCATCTGTTATTAGGCAGTTGATAAACCAAGTCTTAAGATTGGTTTTAAAAGGTTGCTATGTCATTTTTCCTTAGCGTTCTAAGATGTGTAGTTACTGATTATGGATTGTGCAACTCCAAAGTCATCTTAATAGGAAGAGCTTCATTGTCTCACGGGGTGAATGAATGCAACTATTAAAGTCATTTCTCTGTTCCTTGGAACAATAAGTTGATGGATATAATTCATTTTCTGACAACTAATATCTTACCTTGATTTGTTTTACAGACCATCAACTTGGATCTTGTTTTTAGCCATCACTTCCAAGATTCTGGTGCTATATCTCATTTGCTTTCAACTGTTGATTTTACTGCATTGTAATTTGATAATTTAGACCCCAACACAAAAAATAAATTAAGTCATGCTAGAATATGCACCATACGTATATAGGGGAGTAATCTGATAAAATGCTTTGTGCAGATATTGCAATTAGTACTGAAGTTTGGGGAGGTGTGCAATCAATAGTAAAATATTAATTGGTCTTTGTACATAGATAATTTAAACACTAATATGATAGATATATTACTACCTGTTTTCCTGTACTGTTTTATTAATTCATGGAATAGTGACTAATAGAAGTATTATTTAGCCTTATATATAAAACTCATAGATATAATACTGTTTTGTGTACTGTTTTATTAATTCATGGAATAGTGACTAATAGAAGTACTACTTATCCTTATATATAAAACTCAAAATAGCCTTTTCAGCAAATACCCAGTGAAGACACAAATATATATATTACACACACACACACACACAATTATATATATATATGAAGAAACCACATTTGTTAACAAATGACTAAAATTGTCATGCCTGAACCCTCCATTATTGAACATCACCTCTCCATACCCCTTGATCTCTTTAATTTTGTGATGCTATACCACCTCCATAATTTCACCCATGAATAATAGATTCCAAGCCCATCACTTTCTGTTTCTTTCTCTTTTCTTTTGCAAACACTTTTCCTTTACACGAGGGACCTTTGGTTACCTTCTTAAAATGTGATTATCTAGAAAATTTACAGAATGTGAAATTAATGCCTATTTGATAAAAAATATTTAATATATAAAGCAATGCCTACAGATATGTATATATATCACATAGTTGTTATACAGATTAAATGAAATAACTGATTTAAAATCACATAGAGCAATTCAAATACTACACCAAGTGGAAATTATCCTTTTTGATGAATTTAGGACTTATTTATTATGATAATCTGGTACTTGTTGACAAAGTACAGTAAAATAATTATTAGATACTGAAACAAGCAATATTACATTCACCCTGAGGCAATAGAAGAATGTGTGATGATAGACAAACGTTATATTTTTGCCATGAAGAATGTGTCTCTTGCTTGATTATTCTGTAAAGCCATGTTTCAAATGTTCCCTAAATCATATATCAAAAATCCAGAAAAATTAATATAGAAGAGAAACCTTTAGAATTTGTCTTATTAAGTGCTATTTGAGCTTGATTATTATCAGATTTTGAAACCCTGTTAGAGAACACCACACTAACTGTTGTTGGAATGATAGAATGAATCAGCAAACAATAAATAATTTGGAGAAGGAAGCAGCATTGATGGAATCCACTTCTCAGAGAAGTTTAGACCCAAATGTGAAAAATTAGACATGTACAATAAGTACAGTAAGCAAGCTGTTTGTGGAATAAAATTTAACAAACCAGTTATATAATTACTGTGCCTTATTAAATTTTTTATTTTGACATCTCAAGTTTCAGAATACACAGGAAATAATTACATAAAATTGGACAGCCAATGCCCTTGCCCGCCTCTGCTTGCTGTGGTCAGTTCCTCTGAAAATACTAGGTTTATCGGTTGCTCCAATTTGTCTTTCTCCCAGTGTGGTTACTTTTATTGCAATGTTCTAGATTCCTGTCAACCTCAAGAACTACCTTATTGTTTACCCAGGCTGTGAAAGAAGCTTTGCTTGTATTTGAGACCAAGAACACAACAGTAGTGACCACCTAACATATTATGGCTGTTAAATGGTGTATTTTTGACTTAATGAAACATTGAAATAATTGGAATGATGAGATTTAAGTGGAGTTAGGATAATGGGCAGCAGATAGATATTTCTTATCTTCATGTAATACTTAAATTTGTACTATTGTAGAAATTGTACAAAAATTGTAGCATATAAACCATTCACTCATGTGTTTGTTGTTGTAGCATATGATCCAGTAATTCACATAGAATTCATTTAAATATATTACAAATGAAACCAGCACTATAATGCAGAAAAAATTTAAAAAATATCAAGGAAATTATGCCTTGAAATTCTTCTGACAAAGCATTTGAACATTAATTGTGTGGTTTGAAATTTCTAGAATTGCGTATAGTAGATGCCTAGCTCCCTTACCTACTCAGAGATGATAAAATGAACTTCCATTTTTGCTTTATATATCTTTAAATTTTCAGAGATGCTTATTTTATTTCTGCTTTTGCTTTCTCTAATTGTCATTATTGTGTCCCTCTAAATACAACTATTGCTTACCCAACCGTGATGTCTTGCTGATAAAGGGCATCACTTAAATAGCATGGGCACTACTGGAACTTGTCAAAAATTTTAGTTCTTTATATCTTCTTTTGTGTTGTTTCCTTTATCAATTTCCAAACTAACATTAATCTATAGTAGGAGTGGGTTGTAGGAGAAGGGCAAAGAAATTTAAGGTTACCTTGTCACATTTTTCATGAGACAGAAAAATTAGAATGTAATTTACATACATTAAGATACGTATGTAGGCATATTTTCCCTGGATATCTGAGTTAAATGTGCCATGCTTCCATAAGACTAAGCAGTGATTATTTATATCCATATTTAGTAGCTAAATTTCTGTACTGTTCATTCAAAGAATTAAACTCAGCATTTTCAAAGAAAACTTAATAAATTTTAAAGATAATAAATTTTCAAGTGGCAAATGTGAGAGTTGAAATCAAAATCTGGAGATTGAGGTTACTTAAACATGCATGTTCACATCCTGGTAGAAGCAGAGATGAGTTCATTATACAGTAATTGAACACTGAATTAAAGACATACTAGAATATATTATCAAATATAAACTCTGTTTTGTTCACTGATGTACCTTCAGTGTCTAGAACTGTGCTTGACATATAAAAATTGCTTAATAAGTATTTGTTGAATAAGTGGCTAAACCTCCATGAGTTCATTTCATCTCAAACTCTTTATTAACTAGAGGGTGAATATTCCTTCTAGGTTGGCAACATATATATTCACTTAAGCTTTAGAAATGGTATTTTTTCTCAATATTTCTTCCCTGTTTTTAAAACCACTGAATGAATTTCCGGTTATGAAACACATTTTAAAATGTTTTATATGATGATGGTATTGTGGAAGACAGTGTGGCAATTCCTCAAGGATCTAGAACTAGAAATACCATTTGACCCAGCCATCCCATTACTGGGTATATACCCAAAGGATTATAAATCATGCTGCTATAAAGACACACGCACATGTATGTTTATTGTGGCACTATTCACAATAGCAAAGACTTGGAACCAACCCAAATGTCCATCAATGATAGACTGGATTAAGAAAATGTGGCACATATACACTGTGGAATACTATGCAGCCATAAAAAAGGATGAGTTCATGTCCTTTTTAAGGACAAGGATGAAGCTGGAAACCATCATTCTCAGCAAACTATTGCAAGGACAGAAAACCAAACACCACATGTTCTCACTCATAGGTGGGAATTGAACAATGAGAACACTTGGACACAGGGTGGGGAACATCACACATCGGGGCCTGTTGTGGGGTGGGAGGAGGGGGGAAGGGTAGCATTAGGAGATATACCTAATGTTAAATGACGAGTTAATGGGTGCAGCACACCAACATGGCACATGTATACATATGTAACAAACCTGCATGTTGTGCACATGTACCCTAGAACTTAAAGTATAATTAAAAAAATTAAAAATAAAGATAGAGTAGAACAGATTTAGAATGGATTGAGGGAGGGTGACTTCTTGGAACTAGATCACTCTATTAATTATTTATGTTGTGTAGAGATATTGCGACATGCATGCAATGCTTTTATTTCTTTATTTTGCTTTATTTTGTTTTTCATTTTGGGCGGTTATCCCAGGAATTCAAGGTGGTTTTATCTTTTTTTTTTTTTTAATTTAACTTTTATTCTGAGTTCAGGGGTACAAGTGTAGGTTTATGTAAGTAAACCTGTGTCATGGGGGTTTGTTGTACAGATTATTTCGTCACCCAGGTATTAAGCCTAGTACCCATTAATTTTTCCTGATCCTCTCCCTCCTCCCATCTTCCAACCTCCAATAGGCCCCAGTGTGTGTTGTTCCCCTGTATATGTCCATGAGTTCTCATCATTTAGCTCCCACTTATAAGTCAGAATATCCTGCAATGTTTTTAAAAACAGTCTGTAGTATTCTTCTGCCAGTTGTAATAATGTGTAATACCTAAGGGTAAGATAAGAATAGAGCGATAATTTTAATTCCAATTGTCACTGCCCCATTTTTATTTCTGCTTATGTTTGCATGACATTTATAAAATCACATAAGCATCCAAAACGTCTTAGATATGCTAGATTCACAGCATATAGAACACATATATGTGTGCATATTAGCTGGTAGTATCAATGGGGTATTTTTAATCTCACCTTCATAACAGAGTATAAAACCAAAAATTCACAAGACTGAATTTTGAGCGAGTTTTTATATTATGTAATCCCAATGCACATCATTGTACAAATGATGCTAAAAATACTATACCACAGGCAACAGTGTTTTTATGTTGTTTACTAGGATAAATAATGTCTTCACCTCTAGCATTACTCACTATCATAACTAACATATTTTATATATGATACCAACTGCTTAACATAGGAAAGTCATTGAATTCATAATATATATTTTTAAAATGTTGTGATAAAAATTAATGAGATATTTTAAGTCTACTGCTGACCTAAACTATCTTGATTGTTGCAACAGATGCATTTATTTGATTATTGATTGTAAATAGAAAGATTTCTTTTTTTCCAATTTTGTGTATTCCAACATTGGCATATGCATATTTTAAAAAATGCAGATGTGCAGCTATGCAATGGGACAGTTATTTCATATAACACATTGCTTGGCATAACCAGAGCACAATATCCATAACAAGTTATTTATATCATATGTAGTCCTCCTGTTTTTAGAACAATTACTAAAACTTGTTGATGTTATCGATTACCAATAAATATTGAGAAATTCCTTAATTGGTTACCTATATGCATTAATACATTTCTGGAATGGAATTTTAAATAACCACCTGAACACTGAGTTTTCAAAACTGCTAAATACCTTAATAGTTGCATTAACCTTCATTTAATTATAAAAGTATGACATCTGATAGGCTTTAGCTCAGTGTGATACAAATTTAATTTTGTTTATATAATATATCATCTACAAGTACTATCCAGAAGAAGCACATTAGAATGTTTAATTATACTAGAGATTAAAAGATATTTAATATATAAACTTGAGAATAAATAAAATAGAGAATAAGAATTGAGAATTATGAAAGGAAACTGAAGGTAAAATTTGCAGATTTTAAGAAAATCAAAATCCCTCATTGAATTTTGTCAGAAGAGTTCAAGAACTGAAATAATTTTAAAGCTTTCAGTGAGTGAAAAATAATAGGGAGAAGTAGCAAGAGAGATTGATTTTTGACTCACTTTCAACTCGGTACTGTTTTTAAATGCCTTTCTTATTTTCAAGCCCTTCTCAAGCTGTTCCTTGAAGTTGTATAATTCCTGTTAGTCTATAGATGTGAAAACCCATTTTTATATGAACTACCTTCTGCGTTCTATAAACATAAATTCTCAGGGTTGGGATGTCTTCTAGTCTAACTCTCCCATTGAATGTTTGGACGTCATCTACCAAATCCGTGTATCTAAAGCAAATATAGTAGATCTAATCTGGTGGTCCAGTACCTCCAAAGATATGGAATACACTCCTGAAATATCCTGAAACCTTTTTTTTTTCAGAATCCTTTAATAAGCAGTTATGTCAATCTGAAAGTTGCTTACTTGTACTTTATATTAATAGCTATTCTTGTTTTTCTTATCCAAAGAAAAATCCTCTAATCCCCTTTTCACATGATAGTTGTTACCATGTTTAGGCGTTAGTCACATCAACCCCTCTCCTCTCCCAAACTTCTCTTCTTCAAATCAAACTTTATTAGTCCCTCCTTTATAATGATTCCTTGCCTCCTTTTATCCAGATCAATTTTTTTTCACTTTGATGCCCAGAGCTGAAGAAATGGACTATTGTATAAATTATTCATTGCCAAGAGAATAATTGCATTTTAAACCCATGTTATAACAAAGAATAATGATTATATTTTGTGATTTGTAACAAATACCCTTTATTTTCCCTTAACTATTGAATTAAATATTTTAATTATTTGTATTCTCTTTAACTATCTTGGTATATTAAAGTATTATCTTTTATATATTTATCAATGGTGGACACTTTTATAGGTACTCTGTGTCATTTTTGATACTGTAGGTATCTTATTTCATTTATCTTTATTCTTAATGTACGAATTCATAATATTTGATTCAGAACAGATTTATCACTAATTAACAGAGTGTCAATTATGCTAACATCTCATTTACTGATTTTAATTTAAAACAGTTTTTGTTAACATGCATGTTTAGGGTTGGCTTCTTAATAATTTCTTCTTCCTCTTCTCTCTCTCCTCTTCTTTTGGTCAGTGTTGTGCGGGTTAATACAACAAACTGTCACAAGTGTTTGTTGTCCGGGACGTACATTTTCGCGGTCCTGCTAGTATGCGTGGTGTTCCACTCTGGCGCCCAGGAGAAAAACTACACCATCCGAGAAGAAATTCCAGAAAACGTCCTGATAGGCAACTTGTTGAAAGACCTTAACTTGTCGCTGATTCCAAACAAGTCCTTGACAACTACTATGCAGTTCAAGCTAGTGTACAAGACCGGAGATGTGCCACTGATTCGAATTGAAGAGGATACTGGTGAGATCTTCACTACCGGCGCTCGCATTGATCGTGAGAAATTATGTGCTGGTATCCCAAGGGATGAGCATTGCTTTTATGAAGTGGAGGTTGCCATTTTGCCGGATGAAATATTTAGACTGGTTAAGATACGTTTTCTGATAGAAGATATAAATGATAATGCACCATTGTTCCCAGCAACAGTTATCAACATATCAATTCCAGAGAACTCGGCTATAAACTCTAAATATACTCTCCCAGCGGCTGTTGATCCTGACGTAGGCATAAACGGAGTTCAAAACTACGAACTAATTAAGGTGCGTTTTAAAATCACTTTGTTAAAGATATCATCTCATTTTTTAAAGAGTAAAATAAAATGATATTAATGTATTTCAAATTTTGAGTAAGCCATCACCCCAATTTTTCAAAATTTATGTAATTTAAAGCATAGTGGAGAAAATTCATCAATGCAGTTTTTGCAATTACATGTGGATTATGAATTTTCATGGTATGTATATTCATTTTCAAACAGTTGTGTTTCCATTAATCTATAAAGGGATCAGACAAGGAGGTTAGCCCTGCTACTTACAAATCAGTAGTTTGCCCAGCTTCATTCTTTTAATCTGTCCAGTCATGCTTCTGCCAAAAACTTGATATAAGCAAATCATTAAGAATGAATCCATAAATCTGATTATCAATTTTTCCTAGTGATTACTTTAGATACACAAATTTTATCTTGCCATTTGATATGGTGCCAAATAAATCTATTTGAGAGGTGACTAGAACAATTTAATTTATTACTAGCATTTCTGAACATATATAGATAAATATTTTTCATGAGGATTTCAAGGTAAGGCAAGGTCTTTAGCATATCCTGAATCATCAAATTGAGATTAAATTTTAGTCAATGTTCTGTTAATGTTAAATATTTTCTTTTTTTACAATTATTTGAAAACAGAGTGTTCATTTGTTGTAAAGGGTAAGTAAGCCTTTTAACAAAAAAGAGTCAATCAGTTAATTTGAATAACCTATTCTGGCTTGATTTGGGTCTTAGGATGGAGAAGTTAGAGAGAAGAATAGATAGAATATTTGGTATTCTTCAAAATATGTGCAGAGGGGGCACATTTATCAAGTTAATGATCAATTCTTTTAAATTACTTATATGTTATAAAGAGAAATAGATAACTCAGATTTGGGTATGTGAAATAGTACAATGCACTTGAATGATCTTGGAAAATATATGTTAATGAAATAACTAATGTGCATGTTTCAGATAGATATGTTCAGGGGATTTTCACACTTTTATAAATATTCTGCCAAACTATGATCTATATAATAACTAGTGTTAAAAATATGCCCCAAAACATATAAATAAGACATTCTGATATATATCATCTGAAGGTTTTGACCTGGAGGATATATAATATGGGAAAATTTCTCAACTAATGCTGATCTATTGTAAAGATATATTTATTTATAAATTCATTCAGGAATGGAAGGCTACAAACCTCTTGAGCAAATTTCGGTGAAATGCAGATATGTTTGAGTATATGAAGTGAAAACAGAAAGAGAAGGATTTGGAAAACAGGGAACTCTTGAATACTGTTGGTGGGAATGTAAATTAGTACAACCACTAAGGAGAACAGTTTTGAGGTTCCTCAAAAAAACTAACATTTAGATGATTTTTAAGTGAGCACTTTGGGGTGAAGTTCCTGCAATGACATCTCCTTATCTGATGAAATGGAAAAATATTCAGGAGTCAGATAGATATGGATCACAGTTTTATGCTTACCTCTTACCAGACATGCTACTTTCAGCTTAATCTTTTTGACCTTTAATTTCTTCAGTCATAATATGAGGATGATAATATCACAGGGGCAGAATTGGGAAGAATAAGCACTTAGTATGGAGTAGACATACCTGCATAGAAGATTTTTGAACATGCTTTAAAACATTTAAGTACTTATAGAAATGTGAGGCTTATCACTTGACATAATAAATTGAGTAACAGAGTGGACAGTCTCTCTCTAAAGCAACACTTCACAACAGAATTTTCTGCAAGGACGGTAATCTGTGTGAGAACAATGCAGTAGCCACCAGTCACACGTTGCTGTAGAGTCCTTGAAAGTACTTAGTAGCTAGTGCTACTAAGGAACTAAATTCTTAATTAATTCCATTTTAATTTTAATAGCCACGTGGTTAGTGGCTATCATACTGCACAGCACAGCCTAAACAAATAAAAAACGTTTATTTGGACAATAAAAATTAATAGATAAAATCAAAATGAGACCTTACCAAGTTTAAATCAGATATTAGCAATAGGGTCTCTTCAACTGACCATCTTGACAAATGTGTTGTTTTAAAACGTAGTGCTTTATTCAAAGAATAATTTTGTCATGTCTCCCTTAGGGCAGCTTAATGAACTTCCAAGAAATTTCTGATTTGTCTTGAAAGCTGCTTAACTAATTCAGATAAAACAAATAAGCCTGCTGGCATAATTTTAGCTTTGTTAAAATGTGCTTTCATTTGACATTCTTTGAAAGATTGTCAGCAAATGACAAAAAGTCTCACTACAGGTTCTTAGATGAGTCTTAGAAATGCTCTAAAATTTCTTTCTGTTTTAGAATGTGTGATAAGCCTAAAGTAACTATATGATGTGCCTAAAGTACTGAGGCATTTGTATGGCCCCGTGGACAAATACTGTTTTGACTGCTTGTTAAAAATAATGAGAATGGAACACAAAGCATAGCCCCAGGCATGCAGACAGCCATGACATGGGCGACTTTAACTGAATGCACTTTGACTCGCAAAAAGTCCCTGTCATGAAAGTGGCATATATGCTATGGGAAAGGAGACTTAAAGAAAAACAGAGAAAAGAAGCATGTGTTGATTCATCCATAAACTTTAGTAAATTTTACAATGTGAAATAAGTAGGCCAACCATAATAATTTCTTTTAAAAATCCCTTTGTCCTGCAGAATAGGATGAGAATTTAATTAATATTAATTGGCTCTACTTTTGTTGAATAGACAAGAATAGAAAAATCACCGTTTATCCTAACTAGGCTAATATAAAATGTATATGAATAGTTCAAATAGCAAAGGGAGAGAAGGGAGAAATATAGAGAAAAATTCTAGGAAAAAAGCTCAATTTAAATATTTAAATAGGTCAATTTATACATGAAGGTGTCCTATTTACTATTTGATATTAATTAACTGAAATTAAAGGCATTGGTGGAAAATATTAAATGTTTAAAATGTATGTAGTATAAAATTTCATAAGACTTAAAACTTAGAATATTTATTTCTAAAACTAATATATACATATATTAATTTAGCTTACCTTTTGATGACTTTCAGTATACCTTGGCACAAACAGGGAAAGTATTATTTCACATTTTAAATATTTGGAAAATGAGTTTCAGAGTGATAATGTATTATGCTTATCATCATATGACTGGTAAATGATAGAGGTAGGAACCAGAGTGCAGTTCCTGACTCCTAATCAACAGACAGATTGTAGATGGATAGATAACCTTCAGAGCAGGATCACTGCAAGTTCATGATACAAAACGAAAAGAGTGAAAGAAAGAAAAAAGACTGGGCGCAGTAGCTCACACCTGTAATCCCAGCACTTTGGGAGGCTGAGGCGGGTGGATTACTTGAGGTTAGGAGTTTGAGACCAGCCTGGCCAACACAGTGAAACCCCGTCTCTACTAAAAAAATACAAAAAAAAAAAAATTAGCCAAGCATGGTGGCGGGAGGCTGAGGCAGGAGAATCACTTGAATTCGGGAGACAGAGGTTGCAGTGAGCCGAGATTGCGCCATTGCAATCCAGCCCGGGTAACAGTGAAAGACTCTGTCTCCAAAAAAAATAAATAAATAAAATTTAAAAAAATTAAAAAGGGAAAAAGTGGGGGAATGAAGTGATTACCAAGTAATTCTGCTTGTTTAAAATATAAGTAAAAATAAAACTTATTTATGTGACTTTGATGCGATTAATTTTCAACTTTTTAATGGATCATGTTACTCTTTAAAGAAAAAAAATCATCTATAAGAGTTCTTGATGTTATTAATAGTTGCCACTTAAAAAAGAATCCAGATTTGAAAGCTTCTCTTTTCTCTCTTTCAAGTAAAATCATACTGCAATGCTAATTCCCTATATACATTATAGCTATTTACATACTCACACACATCGTACTACACATTGCAGTATTTGGAAGAACTGTTGTTCAGGAGTAGGAAATCACAGATCTCTTTAACTTTCACTTTTTAATTCAGATGGCCTGTTATTTATAAAGCTTTTTAAAATATTGTAAGTATTTTTTGACAGGGAAGCCAACATTTTCACAAATAGAAACATCCCTCAAGCACCCAGTCTGACTCAGAATATGTATATAAACCACAGGGACTTCCTTCTTTTCTCATGGTAGGAACTCAGGGGAAATTAGTTTATATAATGATGTTACGGTTATTTTTATTTTCTGCTTCAAATTTCCATCTTCCGTGGCATATATCAACAGTCACATTTCTGTACTAGCCCAGTGACAGTGTGCTGATTGATTTCCTTAAGGCAGGCATGACAGTGTTTCAAAGGTTGACAATTTTTGTTGACAGAACATGAAGATCAACTTTTTCTCAGATTAGTGATCCTACTCAAGGCCTTCCCTTGTTTCTACCCATCCCATAAGGCATCCTCATCTGTTCCATGAATCTCAAAAGATCATTTAAACTGGGGTAGTCTTTTAACATAGTCAAGATGTTTGGGCCCTTGTTTTTATTTTAAGTAAACATCTTCCCCATTGATCAAAAGCTGGACTGGATTTATGAAACTAAGGTTAGAATTAGATTTGTTTTGCGATCTGGGGTTAGAAAATCTAAATTGTGAAAAATCTCACCTACCACAAGATTTAGAAATCTTGATTTAAAATTGCCAAGAATGAGACATCAAATAATACATTGTGAAGACAAAGAGCAAGCAAACTTTGTTGTTCTGAAGAAATTAATATTTTTTAACATTATGTAACCATAACTCAAAGTGATGTGTAACATTAGAAGTGAGTAAAGATTCATTGATGTCAGTGCAGAGAGAATATACTATAACAATGAGTATAACAATTTTAGAAAACTTACTTAGTTTATTTGCCTCCAAGAGGCTCAGAAGAGTTTGAATATAATGATTTCCTCATTTTTTCAAATATAAAATGAAGTTTCACTTAAAATTTCTCCATTTCAGCTTTAAGTTTACTTGATTTTATAGTCTCTGAATTCTATAATTTGCATATTAATATTTTTGATCTAATGTTAAAAAGCAAAAGAGATGACAATCAAATGCTAACGACTATGAGGTTTCTGAAAGCTGGGGTTATTATCAAAGTACACTTCCACTGGGGAAAAAATGACAACATAAAACTCACTGTCTTCATAAATGAATCTTTATTAATGCTGTCAGGTCTTAACAAATGAGAGTGTGACACTAATAGGATTAAGTAACTTTTGACTTCATTACTATTATCAGAGTCTTGGTTAGTGTTCATCGTCCACTAATGCCTTTTGTTAAATATATCTGTTATTAAAAATCCCACAGTATGGATGGACACTTATGGAACATAAGTTGGACATCGTAAATAGTTCAATTCTGGAGTTTATAAATTGAGGCTCTGAAGAACAAATGTGTTCCCAAATCTGAATGATCTACTCACATCATGCCTCTTAACTTAATATTACCAACTAACTATAAGAAGCACCACTAAATTTTATGTTATTAGATACAGATTTATTGATCTGTTATTTCATTGTCCACTGTATCTAAGTAAAAATAAATTTGAACTTAATATTATTCTTGCCAAAGGAAATGACTTAAATCCTAAAATAAAAACATATTTTTATAAGACAAAATTAATTGGTATAGAATTATTTAATGAAAACATGAGGTTGTATTACACAGATCTAATTGTCTTTAACAACTTTGATCAATGCTAATAATCTAAGATTATAAATATCCCAATGTGGGTAGTTTTCTTGGCATAAATTATTCTTTTTGTCTACACTGATTTATATTGATTATATAACAACACTGCTGTGGAGACACTCTCTTAGTGAACTGAAGTGTGATCTTTCAATCTTAGATAAAATAAATTGATGGATTGGTAAGATTTCTGTATCAGAGGTGATGACACCTTGTATGAGAAGTGATGATAAAAGCAATAAGGTCATTCTGCAGAAAACTTTCTGAGTTTGTTTGAGTTTTATCTATAAAATAATGTATCTATCTTCATGATTTTACCAGGGTATGAGTTTGGACCAGTTTTTGATGGAATTGGTCTTTAGCAAAAACTATAAAGTGCAGATGAAAACTAATTCTCACTTAAAAATCAAATACTGAAGAAATTAATATTCTCCCTTTTGTATTTATCAGTGTACAGTCATCTTCACAAAACTAATCAAGAATGAATAAATAATCTAGTAGCCTAATAGACCAAATAAATTGCTTTGACCACAAATTAAATTTTAGCCGATTGTTATTCAAGTGTCTTTCAATTTCCCAGTGCAGGTAGATGTCACTGGAGGAAGGAAAATATTGAGTCTAAGTTAATTAAATAACGCAGAACTTAATTTTCTTAATTATTTTTGAAATGTCCTTTTTTCATTGGTCTTTTGCTTGCACAAATTATATCTTCACCAATCTATTCTACAAATAGGTAATAAAGTGTTTTATCCATAAAATGTTAAATATCTATTACTAGAGCACTAAGGGCATCAAAATAGAATACATGTGGACACACACGTTTTAGCAATTAAAACTATAAAAATATCGCTAGTTATCTATTTTGTATTTCCTTTGAAATAGAAGAGGTACTTCTAGGTGAACAATCATAAGAAACCTATTGCTTATTATTTATACATTGGAAGAGTATTTAGTGGTAGCATGTTTTAATTGCTGCATGCACATATCTCTATACTTGCTGGTAAACTGAGGAAAGTAGTATAACGTCATATATAGGAAACATATTTTAAAAGACATATTTTGCAAAGTAAGTGTGAATTTTGTTTCATTAAGCAAAACAAAGGATTTTAAAAGTTGAAAATCATAAAATGAAGTTTTGGATTTTCTAACCTAATTTACATTTGTCTTTGCGATCTCACTTAATCTGGAATTTTATTTTATGTAGAGTATTATCATGAATATTTCTCATCCTTTTACTTATTTTATATATAGAATTTCATTATTTTAAGCTTCTTCAATACAATGAAGTGAAATTCTAAAGAATGAAAGGCTGTTCTATTAAATTTTGTCTAGATGTAACAATAACTGACTGCTAACTAATATCTTAGTCTAATTCCAGTAATCTAAATTTAACACATATTTAATGAGTGCTCAATGTACAAAGTCTTGAGGGATAAAAAATGTGTTTGGAAAACAGTCAGTGTCCCCAAGGAGATTAATAACAGGCATTATCAGGATTATATTTTTGCTCTAATGATAGTAAAGAGGAAAGTATTTATTTTATATATACATACATACTTGTGTGTGTGTGTGTGTGTGTGTGTGTGTGTGTGTATCTTTTTTCTTTCTTTTTCTTTGTGAGACACAGCCTTGCTCTGTCGCCCAGGCTAGAGTGCAGTGGCACGATCTCGGCTTACTGCAACCTCCACCTCCTGAGTTCAATTGATTCTCCTACCTTAGCCTCCCGAGTAGCTGGGACTACAGACGTCTGCCACAAAGCTTGGCTAATTTTGTTGTTGTTATTGTATTTTTAGTAGAGACAGGGTTTCACCATTTTGGCCAGGGTCTCAAACTCCTCACCTCCAGTGATCCTCCCGCCTCAGCCTCCCGAAATGTCATGGTTACAGGCATGAGCCATCACACTTGGCCATATTTATTATGTTGTAAGAACATTTTATCTTAAATTGATCATGCTGCCATTAAGAAAATGGAATTATTTAAAGTTTTATTGTCTCAGAAAAGTTAAAATTTTATATCTATTTTTAGTAGATTTTTACCAAGCACTCTCATTAACTTATGATATCTTATTTTGTTACTAGGTTTGCAATTATGGCAGTAATACTTTTTGCCAACATTTATCTGTACAATCATTTTGAGACTGGAAATAAAACGTTTTGATGACAATGGTAATTCTTGTGCTAGTTGTGGTAATTACCTAAGTCTTTCTATTATCTTAATTCTCAAACTTGTTATCTGTGCCTACAATTCCTCTCCTATATAATAGAGAAAATTAAAATTATCCTTATGTAGCATGCAGGGATATTATAAAAGCTAATGATATAAGTAAAATCTATAAAGTTTGCTGAGTACCCTGAAGAAAACTGTTCTGTAAACAATAGTTATGGGTTTTACTCTGTAGGTTGAGGTTAATTATAGTCTTTCACAATTTTTCTAAGACTTGATGCTTCATACTCCTTAAAAAGCCTATTTTACGACTTAAACTTAGTTTTCCATACATGTTTTATGTATGTATACAGAGAAAAATATGACAACATTAATCTATTTCTTGATCAGTGCCACTGGCTCTACATTTTTTTCTGGACCTAGTTCAGTTTTTGTTTTGTTTTGTTTTGTTTTAAGTCTTCCACTTACCCTCTTTGGCTTATCTTTTGAATCAAATGTCTCCTCTTCATTTGCCTTTGTCTCCTCGTGGCCCTCCATATGACAGTGATACTGCTAATATGAGTACTTTCTCATATACTGCCTCTACCATCTGGAATTGCTTTATTTACATCTCATTCATATGACCTTATTTTTTTAAAAAAGATTTCCTCTCTTCTTTTCTTTTTTCAAGCTGAGAACTTATTTTCCTATCCCCTTTCTAAGACAATCACGACTGTTTTTTTTTTCCAGTAGATTTTGTAGAAGAGGTGTGTAATAACGTACTTGAACTTTTTTATTTTTAATTATTCTAAATTAAATAGGTCTTAAAATATCCTTTTTCAAGCAGAAGATTTGCTATAACAAGCCTTTCCTGGATGCTAGTATGTTTTTCTGGCTTATAAGAGAGCCAAGATATCCTCTGAGGACAAGAGTTGTTTAGAAGAATTCATTTAAAATAGTTTGACCAGGGAAATATAGCAGAATAAACAGCCTGCATCCTAAGGACAGTGGAACAAGGGGAGCATTGCTGTCAGTAATGCAAATAACAAAGTAAATGGTTAACAGAAGAACGAAGTTGTGTTCTAGATAATCATACACTGCCTCTACGGTCTGGATGCATGAATTCTAGAGAAACAATTTAATGGACTATAAATAAATTAAGAAGTTTAATACTTTATAGATTACTTTTAGTTGAACAGAGTGCTTTATTTAAGTCACTGAATGATTATATGCATGAATTTTAGATTGCATATAGATATCAAAAAGCCAAAGAATATGATCATGCTTAGCTACAAGCTAATGCATATTCAATTAACTCCCATTAAACTACCTTCAATAAATAAGTAAATATAAAATGAAGGCTACTTACATTGTTTGAATACACAATATAATAAGATTCTGATGCTGATTATTTGATTTTGTGTTTAGTGGTTTCATACTGCTTTTGCTTGGAGGATGTAAGTATTTAACAGATCCTGTGTGTTTCAGGAGGCATTTAAATCTTTTAATTTTGCTGTGAGGAAAGTTATTCCTAAGGGATCAGTCACAGATAGCTATATTACCCCCATCAAATGCATCATTTTCCTAGATTCCAAACCCTATGTAGAAATCTCCAAGTTGAAGAAGTAACAATGACCATGCTATCAATGTTTAATCCTTTGGAAACCATAGTAATGGTATAGGAATGCACCTTTTTAACTAGAAGTACTCATGGGCCTGGAAAAGTGAAGATGACCTCATGGGGGAATGGATATATGGCCCTAAACTGGAAAATCATTGGCTGGCTTCTGTATAGGCTATTTATAGCCCATTTATTCATCTGCAGCTTTTAAGATTCTAAACATTTCTCTATAATCTATTTTCCCTATAGTTTGAGGTTAATTATACTCTGTTTATCTATATGTTTAAGATCAATTACCTAACTGCTAAAATGAAAGCATTTTCATATAGCTAGAGCTCTCACACAGAAAACTAGTTTACGTGTAAGGTAACCAGTTTAATAAAACTGATAATCTCTTTAGCTCTTAGAAATTGGATTTTAATTATTTATCTAATAGACAAGACTTCTTAAGCTATATTTTCTACTCAAATATACTAATGGAAATGTAAGTAATTTAAAATTTTTCTCCAACTGTTTTGTGGATGTTTTGTAAACTGTAATCTCATTGTAACTATGTCTGGTGTTCTACAATCTAGACTATAAAGGTGTGAAGCAAAAAAAAAGATTTCTTTCTGAAATAATGTTTTGCATTACTATTTTACACCACAAAATAGTGACTGGCCTTATTTAGGTATTGATTAATGTAAAAAATGGCATTTTACCCAATAACCTTCCTGTTATTACCAGGCAACTATGAAATTTAGTGACACAATTATTTTTGTTTCTTTTTTTCATCTTAAGGAACAAGTTCTTAATTAGATTCGATACAGCTATAAGTAAACATAAACTATGTTCTTATGTAACCTCAAGAGTTATTTTAGGCCGGGCGCGGTGGCTCATGCCTGTAATCACAGCACTTTCGGAGGCCGAGGCGGGCGGATCACGAGGTCAGGAGATTGAGACCATCCTGGCTAACCTGGTGAAACCACGTCTCTACTAAAAATACAAAAAAATTAGCCGGGCGTGGTCGCGGGCGCCTGTAGTCCCGGCTACTCCGGAGGCTGAGACAGGAGAATGGCGTGAACCCGGGAGGCGGAGCTTGAAGTGAGCCCAGATCGCGCCACTGCACTCCAGCCTGGGCGACAGAGTAAGACTCCATCTCAAAAAAAAAAAAAAAAAAAAAAAAAAGTTATTTTAAAGTGTCTCCATGCCTTGTTACACAGTTCATTGACAATTGTTTAATCTGTTGCTGCTAAGTTTCCTTAAATTTGTGATTATTTCAATGAGTTAGTGATAGTTTATTCACCCATATTTGTGGTGCATTGCCACAAGGAATTATTGACACTTCTTTTTACTGACAACAGCTTTTTTGTTTTGTGTTTACAGTGTGATGTTGAGAGTTTTGTTGTTTCCTCACAAATAACTGACTGCATAACTCTATGCTTTCCTACATGGTTAGCAATTGCTATTTCATGAAAAATTGGATTTGCTTTCCTAGTTGCAGTTATCAGTCGGTGCTTCTTAAAAAGATAGCTGTTTATTTTGATGACTGCTTAGGCAATATTTATTATTAAGTATTGCTTTCTCAAATGATTTTTCACAGAGGCAGTGGACAAATGGTTTGACCTGTACAGTGTACAGTGTACAAAGATTCATTTTGTAGCTTAAAGAATGAATTATCTTTGTGTCCTCTGTGTGTGTGTGTGTGTGTGTGTGTGTGTGTGTGTGTATTATAGAGACAGGGTCTCACAGTGTTACCCAGGCTGGAGTGTAGTGGCTTTGCACAGGCACAACCATGGCATGCTACAGCCTTGAACTCCTGGGCTCAATCAATTCCCCTGCCTCAGCCTCCTTAGAAGCTGAGACTACAGGCTAGCACTACCAGGCCCAGCGTTTTTTGTACATTTTTTAATCTGTATTTTATCCTCATATGAATTTTTGTTATCTATTTGCCTTGTATAATATTAGGATGGGTATATCATTTATCCTCCAAATTAAGATTAAACAGGGACATTAAATTAAATTAAACAGGGACAACCAGAATATATAGTCACAATATTTAAAACCCCAAATTTCTACAGTAATTCCTTCTTTTCCATTTTACATCCTTCTTCTCAAGGTCTGGTCTACCTTGAGCCAGAGAGCTGCCATCTTCTGCAAAACATCAATGGGGTCAACTATTATTTGCACAAACTTGAACTTCACTCTGTTTTAATTTAGCAGAGCGACTCTCAGGCTGACTTGGTTCTGTTGGCAAAAGACTAGCTTCTGAAGAATTGTCTAACAGCAGAAACGCTGTCATCAAGCTTGTACATAGGGTGAATTTTTTTCTGAGCTGGCATTGTTCATCTAATGTAGTGTTTTCTAAAGCTAAATTTTACACACACACAAAAAAAACAGACATGGAAAACGGGCATAATTGCATTTAGAATTATGTTACTTTTGGACATAAGATTTCTATTTCCTTTGATACTATTCAAATAGATGAAGACTATGTCGTTTGCTTCTATGCACTGATCCACAAAATGTAGGAGGTATTAAATGTCTTGCCAAGTTACTAAACAAGTAAAGTTTTCAGAAGCTCAATGTGTGACCGAGTTTCTCCTTTTCTACACATATTTCCCTAAATAGCCATTTGTCTACAGGCCATTTGAGTATAGCCTGAAGACAGGATGAGATACAGAACCACTTAAGCAGCTTTCCAAAATGAGGTTTTAGATTGTAGAGCCAAAGCTCTGAGTGGTTTTTGTAAGAGAGGAATTTTTTTTTTGTTTTTTTTTTTTCTTGAGACAGAGTCTCGCTGTTGCCCAGGCTGAAGTGCAATGACGCGATCTCGGCTCACTGCAGACTCCGCCCCATGGGGGTTCACTCTATTCTCCTGCCTCAGCCTCCCGAGTAGCTGGGACTACAGGCACATTCTTTATGACTTTATCTCCATGGACATATTCTTCATAAATATTTAGAACAGCTTATACTGTCTTCTATTATACTGGCTTGAAGATAATTGATACCATTGATGCAGGATCAAGTGTTGTCTCTTTGTTCATCTACATTACAAAACATGGTGTCACCAATAATCTAATTGTTTTTGTTATACTTTCCTATGTTACTGGTTTGAAGATAATCGATACCATTGATTTGGGATCAAATTTGTATTTTGCTGTTTTTCTCCATTCATCAACAGTACAAAATGTGCTGTCACCCATAATAGTTTATTTTTGCATCGTATGTTTTGGATTTCTACATTCATTTGCCTGAATTTTTCACTCAGGGTTTTGGATATTATATATTTCATATGCAGCATGTATCATTTGTTGGTGACTTAAATGCCTGTATCCTATTATAACAGAACTAATCACTTTTCTAAAGATAAGTATAAGTTTGGTCCACAAAAAAATTTCTATGTGCATTGACTCATTGAACCTGCTACGATGAAGACTTCTACTTTACAATTCAACTATGCATATCAGGATTACTGATTTCTTTATATGACATTACTTATGAAAAGAAGTAATTTTATGAATTACTAAACACTTTCCAAGTATGTTTATTTTGAAACTTGCCTTTAATTAATAGAGATAGCTTGAATATTTAGCATAGTCCCTAATAAAAATAATTGAATTAAATTTAAGTATCTAGTCAATAGAATTAATAGCAATTGCTATAAACCTAAATAATTATGGTGATAATAAAAATCAAGTTAAATACAAGATGTGGTATAGGGGTTCAGTTAGCTTAATAATCTAATGTTTTACTAGTCCACATTCAATTTTAGAGTAATGATGTTGAAAATGCAAATTACTTATTATTAGGTTCCTTAACTTTACTATTTATTTGCTTTTTAGTTTTTTTAAAGTTTTATTTTAGGTTTAGGAGTACATGTGCAGGTTTGTTATATAGGTAAACTCCTGTCTTGGGGGTTTATTGTACAGATTAATTCATCACCCAGGTACTAAGACAGGTAAGTACCCAATAGTTATTTTTTTCTGCTCCTCTCTCTCCTCTCACCCTCCACCCTAAAGTAGGCCCAATATCTGTTGTTCCCTTCTTTGTGTCCATGAGTTATCTTTATATTAATTATTTTTATTTCACTACTTGGCAGTTTGCCAAATCAGAAACTTGATTTTGATAAGAGAAAAATGTCTATTTCAGAAGTTAAAAATCCGTATTTACCAAATGTTTACCAGTCTACTATCATTGATAGGGTTCACTATATTTCAATACATATATCCCAGTGTTGTCAAATTTTTGAGATATTGTGATTTTATTAGTGTTTGATAATGAAAACATAACTTCAAAGTCTATTACCTGAGCATTGCTTTAATATCCAGGATTCTTTGTACATGCCATTATGTTCCTGAAAGTACATTTAGCATAATATGTATAGCTAATTTATTTGAAAACATAGCCAATTCTTCATTATTCAGAAGTTAATAATCAAATTTCATGAATCATATCCCTCCCCACTACATCCTACTACATTTCATTTTCCTTCAAAATACTTTAAAAATACTTCCTAGAAATTATCTACTTTAGCAAATGCATTTCAAGATTCTCAGAAAATATTTTTTAATAGTCCAGAATTATTCATAGGATTAGATAAGCTCAAATCTCCATTAGATGTTCTTTTCTGTTATTAGTAAACTCCCCTCTTTAGTTTAGATCAGTGTTGTAGCACCCTTATTCTTGGTTTCTATTACATTTACAGTATCTTACAAGGAGCAGCATCTGTTACTGTTCTAAGAGATTAAGTCAAACCAAATAGGTGTGTCTATTTAGAATAATAGGGATTTTTAAGAGAATTATAATTGGATCTTGTAGGTGTCACAAACCTCAGTGTAATAGGCATCATTGATAAGAGATTCCTCTTTTAACTGTTTATTTTGGCATTGCTACATTCGTTTTGAAGATTTTCTTGGTAGCCTTGCATACATGTCTTTAAACCATTTTTCTTACAATTAGATGCTGTGATAACATACAGAGGCTGTGGATACCTACAATTTTAACTTCTGCTTTGACTCCCAGAAGGAAAGTATAAATATTATACTGGCTCTGATATATTACAACTTTACATTAATTTTTAGACAAGATAAAAAGTATTTTTAACATATTTTCTACCATATTGCTCAATTATCATCCTTTTATCATAGTAACTTATCAATGTTACAAAACGTTTTTGTGGGCATTATAGTTTGGAACTCAATTTTGAGAACATTGTTTTAAAAATCTTATCAAGATATGACTTTCCAAATACAACATTTGTATTACAATTAGATGTATACCTTGTTCTTTTTTTCACTTTTAAATTAAAACATGTGGCTGCTCACGGATTGAAAACAGGTTTACCTATATATGTCCTTACCAATTGGTAAGCATTATTCAAAGTAGATCATAAAAAGGAGACAAAAGCCTTGATATTCCCAATTAAAAAGATTTAAACTAAAAACTCCTTCTGCTAACTGTATACTGTTGAAGCATTTATTGTATAACCCTTAACTATCAAGAACTGCCACATCTTTTGATATTTGTGACAGCTATTTTAGGAGAATAAGGGAGATGCAATGTTATAATAGGTAAGGGATGAAGATCAGCTTCCTGGTAGATTACAAAGTAGTGATAATTCTGCTTTCATCCTATTGTGTTTTTTTTCTGCACTATAGATTGAATTACATATTATTGCTCAATGTGATGCTGATTAATTAAGATGTAGGGAGCTGTGGAAAATTATCCATATTTTGTCATAAACTTATGTTTACTGACTGTACATCAGAAAATCACTAAATAATGCATGAAATTATAAAAATTACATTAAAATATTAAAATTACCTGTAAAACCTAGATATTTAAACCACTGTAGTTTTTCATATGATATTGTCAGATCAAATACACTTGCCACTTTCATTTAAGAAATAATTACCAATATTAGATGTAAGTTAAAATAAACATAAAATAAAAAGAGTTGGACATTTATTCATATCAAATAAATAGACTAATGTCTTCTATGGATACCTACTCTTTTCCATATTTTTAGTTGTTCTTCCATTTTTAATTTTTATGACTACATAGTAGGTGTACGTATTTGTGCGGTACATGAGATATTTTGATTCAGTCATACAATGTGTAATAATCACATCAGGGTAAATGGGGTGTCCTCAGTTCTTTGTCACCTGTGGTTTTAGCTCTGATTAAGAACTTGTCTTGGAACCTAAGTCAAAGTTTGATTTTAAATTTTTCATTGAAATTGACAGGTCGGCTGAGGAAATCAAGATTTCTCCAGTTCTGTAGTCAGGTGGTCTGATCGTTAGACTAATTGGATTTACATAAACCCAAGTATTACATTTTACATATGCATTGATTTTTATCACCTCTATTTTCAAGCTGTTGTATAAATGTTGCAGCTTTCAGGCCCTACTTCCATTGGTAACAGATAGAAACTGGTTTGCTGCTATTCTGTCCTGGCATACAAATAATCTAAGTCAAAAGCTTCGCTTTTCATGTTTTTCTAGGATAGTGAGAGGAAAAAAAAAAATTTCTCCTACTCAAAGCATTTATTTCATTTCTATTTTCATAAAATTAGGAATTCATTTTTTTTTTTTCTTTTTTGAGACGGAGTTTCACTCTTGTTGCCCAGGCTGGAGTGCAATGGCACGATCTCGGCTCACTACAACCTCCGCCTCCCGGGTTCAAGCAATTCTCCTGCCTTAGCCTCCTGAGTAGCTGGGCTTACAGGCGCCCACCACCGCACTCAGCTAATTTCTTGTATTTTTAGTAGAGACGGGGTTTCACCATGTTGGCCAGGCTGGTCTAGAACTTCTGACCTCAGGTGATCCTCCCGCCTCGGCCTTCCAAAGTGCTGGGATTACAGGCATGAGCTACCATGCCCAGCCCAAAATTAGGTATTATTTGTTAATGACTTACGGGTTTTTAATTAGCCACAAGATACGAAAGTCTAAACAAAAGTATGTTTTGTTATAGTCAGTTTAATGCCCTAAAAAAATGATGTTTGCACAAATGATTCTAATGCACAAATGTTATTAGTTTCTATACATTTATATTTTCTCAGAGTCTTTTCTGATTATTTGCTGGACCCTACATTTATAATTCTATTTATGCCGATTTCAGAGTAAAATTTCTATTGGGGTACAATTTAGTCTTTTTCTTCTAGGATTGCAATTTTCATTCTGTTGGCCTAGGGCTTCTCAACCTTGGCATTATTGACATTTGAAGCTAGATAATTCTTCCTTGTGGGGTGGTGTGAGAGCTGTCTTATGTACTGCAGGAAGTTTGGCAGCATCTCTGGCCTCTACCAAATAGATCTTAGTGGCACTCTCTTGCCTAATTGTGACAAGCAAAAATGTCTCCAGAGTTTGACAAATGTTTTCTCGGGTTGCGGTGGGGGCCCCAGGAATTTCAACAATAGAAAACCATTGCTTTAGCTCACCCTTACACATATTCATAAGAGAGGATTTTGTATTTTATAGAAAGATTTTATTAACTCCAAAAAGGAGTCAGACTTGAAAACCTTCAAAAACCTTCAAATGATGAGCATTCTCAGATAAAATATTTCAGAAATGTTGAAACAATAAATGCTATTTGAATAACACATACTTTAGTGGTCATAGGTGAAATAGTATTAGGACATATATCAAGTCCTTTGATAAAAAGATATTTTATGAAGTAATAGTGCCTTTTAACAAATTCATAATATGTTATAATTTATCGTAAATGTAGAAGTTACTTTCTTATCTGGTGTGACTGAAGGGGAACACAGTGCTAAATGATAAAACAGAGTAGCCTGAGGTGGTTTTCTTCTAATTTCAGGTCAGATTTACATTTCACTAATTGCACAAAAGTTTTTCAATATTAATTTTGTTTTGTATATACAGAAAACATATTTATTATTAGCACTAGCAAAATCTTATGTAATGAACCCACTTCATAAATAGAATATTTATGTTAATCAAATATGAATGTTTTGCCAACCTAATTTCAAATCTTAACATAAAAAATTGGAATGAGAAAATTGATACATATGAGTATATTGGTATATGTATTATAAATGATTCAACCTCAGCTAGTAAAGGAAGTTTTATTATTTTCAACAGTAAAATCATTATTTTTCTAATTTGATTTCATAGTTATGTAAGAATTATTAGCAATGTTAAAATAATAAACTTTGAGCAAAACTATTTCCTGATTGTTAATGGATAAGAAAAAGATAAAAATTGACATCTAGAATTAGGCAAAGGAAAAACTAATGGAAGATTCAATATATGAATGAGACACAAAAGTTGATAGTGGTGTGTGATAGAACTAATTACAAGCGTTTTTTAAGCTAATGTTTTTAGTTATAGATTTATTTATGAAAAATTGTTCTTAGCTCTTGAATTTTATAGTGTTTTTAAATTTTTAATGTATTTACTTTTTTCTTTTTAATTTTTGTTAGTACATCATAGGTGTATATATTCATGGGGTACATGAAATACTTTGATACAGACATGCAATTGTCATGATCACATCGTGGTAAATGGGACATCCATTCCCTCAAGCATTTATCCTTTGTGTTACACACAATCCAATGATACTTTTAGTTATTTTAAAACATATGATTAAATTATTATTGACTGTAGCCACCCTGTTGTGTTAGCAAACGCTAGGTCTTATTCATTCTTTCTTTTTTGGTACCCATTAATCATCCCTACCTCCCCTGCCTACCAACAACCCTTGCTAGCCTCTGGTAACCACCTTCTACTCTCTGTCTTCATGAGTTCAATTGTTGAAATTTTTAGCTCCCACAAATATGTGAGAACGTGTGAAGTTTCTCTTTCTGTGCCTGGCTTACTTCAATTAACATAATGATCCATGCATCCATGTTGTTGCAAATGACAGGATCTCATTCTCTTTTCTGAATAGTACTCCATTTTGTATATGTACCAGATTTCCTTTACCCATTCATCTGTTGATGAACACTTCAGTTGCTTCCAAATCTTGGCTACTGTGAATAGTGCTGCAAAAAACCCTGGGAGTGCAGATATCACTTTGATATACTTATCTCCTTTCTTTTGTGCATATACCCAGCAATGGGATTGCTGGATTGTAATGGTAGCTCAATTCTTAGTTTTTTGAGGAACCTCCAAACTGTTCTCCAAGTGATTGTACTAATTTATATTCCCACAAACACTGTACAAGGATTCGCTTTTCTCCACATCGTTGCCAACATTTGTTACCACCCGTGTTTTAGATAAAAGCCATTTCAACGGGGGTGAGATAATATCTTATTGTAGTTTTGATTTGCATTTCTCTGATGATTAATTATGTCAAACATCTTTTCATATGCCTGTTTGCCATTTGTATATCTTATTTCGAGAAATGCCTATTCAAATCTTTTGCCCATTTTTTATTACAATATTAGATTTCTTTTTCTCTAGAGTGATTTGAGCTCTCCATATATTCTGATTATTAATCCTTTGTCAGATGGGTAGTTTGCAATATTTTCTCCCATTCTGTGGGTTGTCTCTTCACTTTGTTGTTGATTGTGTCCTTTGCTGTGCAGAAGCTTTGTAACTTGATGTGATCCCATTTGCCCATTTTTGCTTTGGTTGCCTGTGCTTGTGAGGTATTGCTCAAGAAATCTTTGCCCAGACCAATATCCTGGAGATTGTTTCCAATGTTTTCTTGTATGGTATAATAGCTTGAGATCTTAAATTTAAGTATTTACTCCGATTTGATTTGATTTTTCTATATGGTGAGAGATAGGGGTTTAATTTCATTCATCTGCATGTGGATATCAGGTTTTTCCAGCACCATTTATTGAAGAGATTGTATTTTCCCCAATGTATGTTTTTGGCAACCTCGTCAAACATTATTTCACTGTAGTAGTGAGGATTTGTTTCTGGGTTATCTGTTCTGTTCCATTGGTATATGTGTCTGTTCTTATGCCAATACCATGCTATTTGGTTACTATAGCTCTGTAGTATAATTTGAAGTCAGGTAATGTGATTCCTTCAGTTTTGTTCTTTTTGCTCAGGATAACTTTGTCTATACTGGGTTTTTTGTGTGGTTCTATACAAATCTGAGGATTTTTTTTCTATTTCTGTGAAGAATATCATTGGAATTTTTATTGGGATTGCATTGAACCTGTAGATTGCTTTAGGTAGTATGGACATTTTAACAATTTTGATTCTTCTAATCTATGAACATGGAATATTTTTTCCCTTTTTTGGTGCCCTCTTCAATTGCTTTCATCAGTGTTTCATAGTTTTCATGATTGAGATTTTTTACTTCTTTGGATAAGTTAATTCCTAGGTATTTAATTTTTTGTGTGGCTATTATAAATGGAAATAATTTTTAAATTCTTTGTCACATTGGTCACTGTTGGCATATAGAAATGGTATTGATTTTTGTATGTTGATTTTGGATCCTGCATCTTTACTGAAATTGTTTATCAGTTCTAATAGTTTTCTTGTGGAGTCTTTAGTTTTTTCCAAATATAACATCATATTATCTGTAAACAATGATAATTTGAATTCTTCCTTTCCAATTTGGATAACCTTTATATCTTTCTCTTATCTGATGGCTCTAGCTAGGACTACCAGTACTATGTTGAATAATAGTGGTGACAGGGGGCATCCTTGTCATGTTCCAGATCTTAGAGGGAAGAATTTCCATTTTTCCACATTTAGTATGATACTAGCTGTGGATCTTTCATATGTGACTTTAATTGTGTTTAGATATGTTCCTTCTATCCCCAGTTTTTTGAGAGTTTTTGTCATGAAGGGATGTTGAATTTTATAAAATGCTTTTTCAGCATCAATTGAAATGATCATATGGTTTTTATCCTTCATTCTATTGATGATATCTCACATTGATTTGCATATGTTGAACCATCCTTGTTTACCAGGGGTACATCCCACTTGGTTATGATGAATGATCTTTCTAATGTATTGTTGAATTTGGTTTGCTAGTATTTTTGTTGAGGATTTTTGCATTAATAGTCATCAAAGATATTTGCTTGTAGTTTTCTCTTTTTATTATCATTTTTAAGTTCCAGGGTACATGTGCAGGATGTGCAGTTCATTACATAGGTAAATGTGTGCCGTGGTGATTTGCTGCACCTATCAACCCATCATGTAGGTATTAAACACAGCATGCATTAGCTAGTTAGCTGATGCTGTCCTTCCCTAACTGGCCTCAGTGTGTGGTGTTCCCCTCCCTGTGTCCATGCGTTCTCGTTGTTCAGATCCCACTTATAAGTTAGAACATGTGGTGTTTGATTTTCTGTTCCTGTGTTAGTTTGCGGAGGATAATGGCTTCCATCTCCACCCATGTTACTGCAAAGGACATGATCTCATTTCTTTTTGTGGCTGCATAGTATTCCATTATGTATATGTACCAAATTTTCTTTATCCAGTCTATCATTGATTGGCATTTGCATTGATTCCACATCTTTGCTATTGTGAATAGTGCTGCAGTGAACATACATGTGCATGTATCTGTATCGTGGAATAATGTATATTCCCTTGGGTATATACCCAGTAATGGGATTGCTGGGTCAAGTGGTATTTCTGGTCCTAGGTTATATTAGTCTGTTCTCATGCTGCTAATAAAGACATACCCAAGACTGGGTAATTTATAAAGAAAAATAGGGTTAATTGACTCACACAGTTCCACGTTGCTGGAGAGGCCTCACAATCATGGCACAAGGCAAAGGAGGAGAAAGGCAGGACTTACATGGAGGCTGGCAAGAGAGAGCGTGTTCAGGGGAGCTCCCTTTTATAAAACCATCAGATCTCATGAGACTTATTCACTATCACAAGAACAGCACAAGAAAGAAATGCTTCCATGATTCAATTACCTCACACCAGGTTCCTCCCATGACACATGGGAATTATGGGAGCTGCAATTTGAAATTTGGGTGGGGACACAGTGAAACCATATTTTTCTGCCCCTGGCCCCTCCCAGAACTCATGTCATCACATTTTAAAGCCAATCATAGCTTCCCAACTGTCCTCCAAAGTCTTAACTTATTTCAACATTAACTCGAAAGCCCAAGTCCAAAGTCTCATGTGAGATAAGGCAAGCCCCTTCCACCTATGAGCCTATAAAATCAATAGCAAGTTACTTTCTAGATACAATGGGTGTACAGGGTAAATACACCCATTCCAGATGGGAGAAATTGGCCAAAATAAAGGGGCTACAGGCCCCATAAAAGTCTGAAATCCAATAGGGCAGTCACATCTTAAAGTTCAAAAATGATCTCCTTTGACACCATGTCTCATATCCAGGTCATGCTGACGCAAGAGGTAGGTTCCCATGGTCTTGGGCAGCTCCACCCCTGTGGCTTTGCAGGGTACAGCCCCTCTCCTGGCTGATTTCACAGGCTGGCATTGAGTGTCTGTGGCTTTTCCAGGCACCTGGTGTAAGTTGTCAATGGATCTACCATTCTGGGGTCTAGACGACAGTGGCCCTCTTCTCACAGTTCCACTAGATAGTGCACCAGTGGGGATTCTTTGTGGAGGCTCCCACCCCACATTTCCCTTCTGCCGTGCCCTTGCAGAGGTTCTCCATGAGTTCTCTGCCCCTGTAGCACACTTCTGCCTGGACATCCAGTTGTTTCCCTACATCCTCTGAAATCTTGGTGGAGGTTCCCAAACCTCAGTTCTTGACTTCTGTTCACCCTCATGCCCAACACCACGTATAAGCCACCAAGGCTTGGGGCTTCCACCCTCTGAAGCAACAGCCTGAGCTCTACATCGGACACTTTCAGCCATGGCTGGGATGTAGGTCATCAAGTCCCCAAACTGCACAAAGCAGCAAGGCCCTGGTCCCAGCTCATGAAACAATTATTTTTTTCTCCTAGGCCTCCCAGCTTGTGATGGGAGAGGCTGCCATGAAATCTGCGGACATGTCCTGGAGTCATTTTCCCATTGTCTTCTCGATTGATATTTGGCTCCTTGTTGCCTATGCAAACTTTTGCAGTCAGCTTGAATTTCTCCTCAGAAAATGGCTTTCTCTTTTCAATCACATTGTCAGACTGCAATTTTTCCAAACTTTCATGCTCTGCCTTCCTTTTAAACATAAATTCCATAAGTTCCAAACCATATTGTAGTGAATACATAACACTGAATGCTTTTGACAATACCGAAGTCATTTCTTGAATGCTTTGCTGCTTAGAAATTTCTTCTGCCGGATACCCTAAATCATCTCTCTCAAATTCAAAGTTCCACAAATCTCTAGGGCAGGGACAAAATGCCACCAGTCTCTTCACTAAAACATAGCAAGAGTCACCTTTGCTCCAGTTCCCAACAAGTTCCTCATCTCCATCTGAGACCACCTCAGCCTGGACTTTATTGTCCATTTCACTATCAACATTTTGGTCAAAGTCATTCAGCAAGTCTCTAGGAGGTTCCAAACTTTCCCACATCTTCTTGTTTATTTAGGATCCCTCTAAACTGTTACAGTCTCTGCCTGTTACTCAGTTGCAAAGTCATTTCCAAATTTTGGGGTATCTTTACAGCAGCACCCCACTCTACCAGTACCAGTTTACTGTATCAGTCCATTCTCACATGGCTAGTACAGACATACCCGAGACTGGGTAATTTATAAAGAAAAAGAGGTTTAATGAATCCACAGTTTACAACAACAGTGTAAAAGCTTTTCTATTTCTCCACAGCCTGGCCGGAATCTGTATTTTGTGGACATTTTAATAATCGTCATTCTGACTGTCCTGAGATAGTATCTCATTGTGATTTTGGTTTACATTTCTCTAGTGATCAGTGATATTGAGCTTTTTTTCCATATGTTTTCTGGTCGCATGTATATCTTCTTTTGAGAATTGTCTGTTCATGTCCTTTGCCCACTTTTTAATGTTTTTTTTTCTTGTAAATTTGTTTAAGTTCCTTATAGATTCTGTATATGAGACCTTTATCATAGGGATAGATTGCAAAAATTTTCTCACGTTCTGTAGGTTGTTTGTTCACTCTGATGATTGTTTCTTTTGTTGTGCAGAAGCTCTTTAATTAGATCCCATTTGTCAATTTTTCCTTTTGTTGCAGTTGCATTTGACATTTTCATCATGATGCCTTTGCCCTTGCCTATGTCCTGAATGGTATTGCCTAGATTTTCTTCTAGGGTTTTTATAGTTTTGGGCTTTACATTTAATTCATTCATCTATCTTGAGTTAATTTTGGTAAAAGGTGTAAGGAAGGGGTCCAATTTCAATTTTCTGCATATGGCTAGCCAGTTCTCCCAGCACCATTTATTAAAAAGGGAACCCTTTCCCCATTGCTTGTTTTTTTTTTTTCAGGTTTGTCAAAGATCAGATGGTTGTAGGTGTGCAGTCTTATTTCTGAGTTCTCTATTCTGTTGCATTTGTCTATGTTTCTGTTTTTGTAGCAGTACCATGCTATTTTGGTTACTGTAGCCTTGTAGTATAGTTTGATGTCCGGTAGTGTGATGCCTCCAGCTTTGTTGTTTTTGCTTGGAATTGTCTTAAGTATATAGTCTCTTTTTTGATTCTATATGAATTTTAAAATAGTTTTTTTGCTAATTATGTGAAGAATGCCAATGGTAGTTTAATGGGAATACCATCTATAAATTACTTTGGGCAGTGTGGACATTTTGACAATATTGACTCTTCCTATCCATGAGCATGGTAAGGTATATTTTTCCATTTGTTTGTGTCCTCTTTGATTTCCTTGAGCAGTCGTTTGTAGTTCCTCTTGAAGAGGTCCTTCATTTCCCTTGTTAGCTGAATTCCTAGGTATTTGATTCTCTTTGTAGCAATTTTGAATTGGAGTTCATTCATGATTTGGCTCTCTGCTTATCTGTTGTTGGTGTTTAGGGATGCTTGTGATTTTTCCACACTGATTTTGTATCCTGAGACTTTGCTAAAGTTGCTTATCAGCTTAAGAAGCTTTTGGGCTGAGACAATGGGGTTTTCTAGATTTAGGATCATCTCATCTGCAAAGACAATTTGACTTCCTCTATTTCTATTTGAGTATATTTTATTTCTTTCTCTTGCCTGATTGTCCTGGCCAGAACTTCCAATACTATGTTGAATAGGAGTGGTGAGAGAGGGCATCCTTGTCTTGTGCTGGTTTTCAAGGGAGATGCTTCCAGCTTTTGCCCATTCAATATGATATTGGCTATGGGTTTGTCATAAATGGCTCTTATTATTTTGAGATATGTTTCTTCAATAGCTAGTTCATTGAGAGTTTTTAACTTGAAGTGTTGTTGAATTTTATTGAAGGCCTTTTCTGTGTCTATTTAGATAAGCATGAGGTTTCTGTCTTTAGTTCTGCTTATGTGATGAATTATGTTTATTTATTTGTGTATGTTGAACCAGCCTTGCATCTTGAGGATAAAGCTGACTTGATCGTGGTGGATAAGCTTTTTGATTTGCTGCTGGATTCAGTTTGCCAGTATTTTATTCGGGATTTTTGTATTGATGTTCATTAAAGATATTGGCCTGAAGTTTCATTATTTATTTTTATTTTTTTCGTTGCATCTCTGCGAGGTTTTGGTATAAGAATGATGCTGGCCTCATAAAATGAATTAGGGAGGAGTCCCTCCTTTTCAGTTGTTTGGAACAATTTCAGAAGAAATGGTATCAGCTCCTCTTTGTACCTCTGGTAGAATTCAGCTGTAAATCCATCTGGTCCTGTGCTTTGTTTTTTTGGTAAGCTATTTATTACTCCTTCAATTTCATAACTCATTATTGGTCTCTTCAGGGATTCGATTTCTTCCTGGTTCAGTTTTGGGAGGGTGTATATTTCCAGGAACTTATCGATTTCTTCTAGATTTTCTAGTTTATTTGCATAGAGGTGTTTATAGTATTCTCTGGTGGTTGTTTGTGTTTCTGTGGGTAGGTGGTGATATCCCGTTTATCATTTCAGATTGTGTCTGCCCCAGTGAGATCAGAGTTCTGTCCATAAACCCCTGACTGGAGTTGCTGATATTCCTGTAGGGAGGCCTTGCCCAGTGAACAGGGATAGATCCAGGTCCCACCCAAAGAAGCAATCTGGCCACAGTCTGTCACAGCCACTGTGCTGCACTGTGGAGAATTCCTCCCAGTCGAAACCTTCCAGTCTGTCAGGCCCTGGCAGCAGAAAATGGCTGTTTGGAGCCACAGGGATGGCTGCCGCACCTCCCCCCAGGAACTTGGTCATCTTAGTCAGTCTCCAGCCTGCTACCTACCTCTGGGTCCAACCCAAACGGCTGCTGAGATTCTGCACAGTTCTGTGCTTGGGAGCCAAAGTCCTGGTGGCATAGGCTCACAAAGGAATCTCCTAATCCCTGAGTTGTGCAGATGGGTTGAAAAAGCATGATTTCCCGAGCAGAGTAGCACAATAACTCCCTCCCTTGGCTGAGGGTAGGAACTTCCCTTGCCCTGTGCAACTAGCAGATGGGCCATCACTCCACCGTGCTTTTCTCTCTGCATGGGTTGCATCAACCACCTAGTCAGTCCCAATGTGAGAACCTGGATACCTTAGTTGATGGTGCAGGATGCACTAGCTTTTTTTGTTCTTCTTGGTGAGAGCTGCCAACCACACCTGCATCTAATCAGCTTTCTCGGCCCCACCGCCACTCATCTTGGCCCCGCCAACACCCAGTTTTCTTTTTTTGATGTGTCTTAGTCTGATTTTTGTATCTGGGTAATGTTGGTCTCATAGAATGAGTCTGGAAATATTCTCTCCTCTATTTTTTGCAATAGTTTCAGTAGAATTGGTATTAGTTCTTGTTTGAATGTTTGGTAGTATTCAGCAGTAAAGCCATCGGGTCCCAGGCTTTTCTTTACTGAGAGGCTTTTTTATTACAGCTTTGATCTCACTACTAGTTATTGGCCTGTTCAGGATTTGAATTTCTTCCTGGTGAAATCTTGGTTGGTTCTATGTGTCTAGGAATTTCTCTATTTTCTTCTAGGTTTTCCAATTTATTGGCATATAGTTGCTGATAGTAGCCACTAATGAGCCTTTGCATTTCTGCAGTGTCAGTTGTAAAGTCTCATTTTTTCATTTCTGATTTTATTTATTTATATCCTCTCTCTTTTTTCTTAGTTCATCTGGCTAAGAGTTTGTCAATTTTGTTTAACTATTTTAAAAAGCCGCTTTTTGTTTCTTCAACAATCTTTTTTCATTTTCTTCATTTCAATTTCATTTTATTCTACTCTAATCTTTATTATTTATTTCCTTCTACTAATTTTGGGTTTGGCTTGTTCTTGCTTTTCTACTTATTAAGATGAATTGTTAGATTCTTTATTTGAAGGTTTTCCTCTTTTTTGATGTAGGCACTAATAGCTATAAACTTCCCTCTTGGTACTGCTTTTGCTCTACCCCATAGGTTTTGGTATGCTGTGTTTTCTTTATTATTTGTTTCAAGAAACTTTTCAATTTACCTCTTAATTTCTTTATTGACCCACTGATCATTAAGCAGCATATTATTTAATTTCCGTGTATTTGTATAGTTTCCAAAATTCCTCTCTTTATTGATTTCTAGGTTTATTCTATTGTGCTTAGAGATGAGGCTTGATATTATTTCAATTTTTTGAATGTTTTAAGACTTGCTTTGTGACTTAACATATGGTCTATTCTTGACAATGATCCATGTGCTGAGGAAAAGAATGTGTATTCTGCAGCCGTTGGATGTAATGTTCTGTAAATATCTATTAGATGCATGTGGTGTATAGTACAGATTAAGTCTGATGTTTCTTTGTTGATTTTCTGTTGGGAAGATCTGTCCAGTGCTAAAAGTGGGGCATTGAAGTCTCTAGCTATTATTGTACTTGGGACAATCTCTTTTTAGCTCTAATAATATTTTCTTTATATATCCAGGAGCTCCAGTGTTGGGTGCATATATATTTAAAATTGTTATATCCTCTGACTGAATTGAAACCTTTATCATTATATACTGACTTTCTCTCTTCTTAATTGCTTTTGTCTTGAAATTTACTCTGTTTGATATAAGTATAGCTACACCTGCTCTTTTTTGTTTTCCATTGGCATGGAATATTTTTTTCTCTTTTTCATTTTCAGTCTATGTGTGTCTTCATAAGTGAAATGTGTTTCTCATAAGCAACAGATCACTGGTTCTCAGTTTTTTCATCCATTTAGCCATTCTTTGTCTTTTAATTGAAGATGTTAGTTCATTTACATTGAATAATATTGATAAGTAAGGACTTACTCCTGCCATTTTATTATTTGTTTCCTGGTTGTTTTGTGGTCTTCTCTTCCTTCTTTCTGTCCTTCCTGTCTTCCTCTAGTGAAGGAGATTTTCTCTGGTGATATGTTTTAGTCTCTTGCTTGTCATTTTTTGTGTTTTCATTTTATGTTTTTTGGTTTGAGGTTATTTTGAGGCTTGCAAATACCATCTTATAATGCAGTATTTTAAGCTGATAATAGCTTAACATTGTTTGCATAAACTGACAATCAAAAAGAAAACTAATAAAAATTCTACACCTTAACTTGATCCCCAAGATTTTTAACTTTTTGTTGCCGTACTATGTCTTGAAAAGCGGTTGTAGTTATTACTTTTGATTGGTTCATTGTTTATTCTTTCTACTTAGGATAAGAGTAGTTTACACATTACAGTTACAGTGTTATAATATTCTATGTTTTTCTGTGTACTTGCTGTTACCAGCGACTTTTGTACCTCCAGGTGATTACTTATTGCTCATTAATGTCTTTTTCTTTGGGTTTGAAGTACTCCCTTTAGCATTTCTTGTAGGGCAGATCTCGTGTTGATGAAATCTCTCAGCTTTTGTCTGGGGAAATGTTTATTTCTCCTTCATGTTTGAAGGATATTTTCACCAGATATACTATTTTAAGGTAAAAGTTTATTTTCCTTCAGCACTCTAAATATGTCATGCCACTCTCTTCTGATCTGTAAGATTTACACTGAGAAGCCTGCTTCCAGACGTATTGGAGCTCCATTGTGTGTGTGTGTGTGTGTGTGTGTGTGTGTGTATTTTCCCTCTCTTGCTGTCTTTAGGATCCTTTCTATATCATTGATCTTTAGGAGTTTAATTATTAATTACCTGAAGTAGTCTTTGCATTAAATCTTCTTGGTGTAAAACTTCCTTTTACTTTGATATTGATATATTTTTCTAGGTTTGGAAAGTTCTCTGTTATTATTCTTTTGAAAAACTTTCTACCCCTATCTCTTTCTCTACCTCCTCTTTAAGGCCAGTCACTCTTAGATTTGCCCTTTTGAGGCTACTAATATTTCTTAGATCCTGTGGGCATGCTTCGTTGTTTTTTATTCTTTGTTCTTTTGTCTCCTCTGTGTATTTTCAAATACCCTGTCTTCAAGCTCACTAACTTTTTCTTTTGCTAGATTCATTCTGCCATTAAAAGGCTCTGACACATTCTTCAGTGTATCTATTTTATTATTTAACTTCAGAATTTCTGCTTCATTATTTTTAGTTATTTCAATCTCTTTGTTAAATTTCTCTGATAGAATTTTGAATTCCTTCTCCACATTATCTTGAATTTCTTTGAGTTTCTTCAACACAGCTATTTTGAACTCTGTTTGAAAGGTTGCATATCTGTTTATCTAGGCTTTGTCCTGGGTGACTTATTTAGTTCATTTGGTGCGATCACGTTTTCCTGGATGGTGTTAGTGCTAATAGATGTTCTTCAGTGTTTAGGCATTGAAGAGTTAGGTATTTATTGTACTCTTCACTGTCTGGAATTATTTATACCCATCCTTTCTGGGAATGCTTTCCAGGTATTTGAAAGGGCTTTGGTATTGTGATCTAAGCTGTATGTGCTTTAGGGTACACTCCAAGCCCACTAACACTGTGGTTCTTGCAAACTCACAGAGGCACCACCTCAATGGTTTGGACAAGATCCAAGGGAATTCTCTGTATTACCAGGCAGAGACTGTTGTTCTGTTCCCTTATTTTTCTCAAGCAGAGTCCCTCTCTGTTCTGAGCCACCTAAGGTTGGGGATATGGTAACACAAGCACCACTGTGGCTTTCACCACTATGACTGCACCTGGTCAGACCTAAAGCCAGCTCAGCACTGGGTCTCACCCAAGTTCAAGCTCAGCACTGGGTCTCACCCTTGTTCAAGGACCTGTGGCTCTACAGTCAGCCAGTGGCAAAGCCAGCTAGGTCTATGTCTTTCATTTCAGGGTAACAAGGTCTCTCTGGGACCAGGTGGGTACAGAGGTGCCATCTGGAAGTGAGGGACTACAGTCAAAAACCTTAGAAGTCTCCCTGCTGTTCTATTGTACCACGACTGAGTTGGCACTCAAACCACAACATGCAATCCTTCCCTTGCTTCCCTCTACTTTCCAAAGGCAGAGAAGCCTCATCCTGTAGCCACTGCCATCCCAGGCCACAGGGAGTCCTGCCAAACTACTGCTGATATTCCCTTAAGACCCAAAGGCTCTTAAGTCAGCTTGTGGTGATTGCTTCCTGGCATGGGACTCACCCTTCAGGGTAATGGGCTCCCCTCTGTTCCAGCACAGGTCCAGAAATGCTACCCAAGGGTCGTGTCCTGGAATTGAGGACCCCAAAAGCCCACTTGGTGCTCTGCTCCCCTGTTGCCATGCTGGTACCTGAAGCCAGCTGTCTAGAAATGTCATCTGGGAGCTAGGGCCTGGAATGGGGGCCTCATGACTCTATCCAGTGCCTTATCCTGCTGTGGCTGAGCTGGTATCCGGGATGTAAAAGAGAGACATCCTCACTCTTCCCTCTCCTTTCCCTAAGTAGAAGAAAGGTGTCTCTTTTGGAGCCATGAACTGTGCAGCCTTGGGTTAGGGGACAGGGGATGCTTCCCCAGCTGATGTCTCAGTATGCTGCATGCCACCCTAGTCCACTGTCCTATGCCCAGTTCTGCCTTAGGCCTTGCCTAAGAATTGTAGTCCTTATGGTCTAGGCTGCCTTTTAAGTTTACTTAGAGACCTAGAGCACTTTGGCCCTTGGTGGCAAGGTTTGTGAGAATTCAAATTTGGACCACTGGGATCAGTGGTTCCCCACCAGATAGGGCTGGTTTAAATGCTCCCTCTGTGGGCGATTGTCAGCTGCGTTTGGTCTGGTATTTCTTTCTGCTCTAACAGAACAGCACTGAGTTCAGTGGCTCACAATTGCTGTATTCTTCCTCCCCCAGTGCCCAGAGAAGCTCTCTGTACCATGAGGCCACTGCAGCAGTTGGGGGAGGAGAAGTGGCTTCGGTGATTCAACTTTTTTTTTTTTTCTTTTAATCTCTTCAGTGCCTCTTTTGGGGTATGAGGTTCAAACTAAGTACTATGAGTGCTCATCTGATTTTTTCATTCCTATGAAGGTGTTTTTTCTTTGTAGATAGATGTTAAATTTGTGTCCTTGTGGGGAGGATGATCAGTGGAACCTTCTATTCTGCCATCTTGCTCTGTCTTTCATTATGGTATTTTTTTTCTTTTAGTATTGTGGCATATGAAAAAATATTTCTGACCAACCACCCATAATCATTTTTATCTAAACTGCTATCAATCATTAAAAATGTCTGTGTTTCATTGAGCAAAACTGGGACCAGTGTCTTTAAGCTTGTCACTTGCTGAGTCTGTAAAGAATTGGTTAATTGGATATTAATGGAAATTTTAGTTATTCGAATGACTTACATGGTTGCTGAATATTGTGCCATAAAATACTGGTTCTGACTTTCAATACATCATTTTAATTAATGTTGGTGTAATTTCATACATGTTATTAATCTCTGGATGGAGGTTAGAGATTATATTGTATTGATGCCCTGATTAAAGTGTGTTATATTCACGGCACTTGAAGAAAAAAATCACTAGTAGTACAAAAATATCATTGTTTCTCTTAATTCAACTTGATACCAAACATAACTTAAATCACTCCTAGTTTCGTTGCTATGGGGCATAGTATCTTAACTAGAAATATGAAATACTTCTAGTAAATTTGAGTAGGTAAAGACTCCCTAAATATATAAACAGTAGTTATGCTTACAGAAAATTGGTGGCATTTTTCCTATCAATGAGTTGTTTTAAGATGAGTCAGAGCTAATGAAGAGTCAGAAATCATCTCAGAAGACATGGTACTTTCTTCTAAAACAGAAACAGAAACTATTAGGACAAATGGCAATGAATTCTGCCTCCCCCTAAATTAAAGCAGGAAAGTATGAGTCAGAGGTAAGGCCCTTTTAACATCTCCAGATATATCCCATGGTGTCAGGCCAACTGGATAGACCTTATAAATGGACTTACCTGAAGCTTTCTTTAGCCTCTCTGTGCATGGCCTCGTATTTTCTGCCCTAAACTTTTCTCTTTTTACTTCAATTATCACTTATCCCGGAGACATATCACGACTATCCCATACTCCCCATTCCTTGACTAGTCTTACCTCCAACAAAGAAGAATATGCATTTTAGTTAAAATCCAGATTTATAAAAAAAGACACGTCTATGATTCCCAGTCCTTTGCCTCCACTGGGAAAAAATTTTTGATCTGTTTGAAATGTTCAAGGGAAAAAAGACCCAAGTTTGCTGCCTCTCCCATGCCATCCTTCAGCTTCCCAGCCCTGCCTGTGGAGGTTTGATTCTACTTGGGCTACATCCTACTTCTCAAAAACCAGGTCACTGAGAAATCTGGGACTTTCATTCATATATGTGTCCAATGTTTTAGTGACCAAAAATAACAACAACAACAAAAAATCTACCACAAGATTCTGTCATTCACCCACTATAGCATTAATGACTTCCAATTATTCACCAGGGACTTGATTAGAATGAGCCATCTCTGACTCGTTACTGCCAATTTGAAAGTATTTGCATTAAAGAGCAAAAGATACGAACTATTCTTACAATGCTTACCCATTTCCAAAAGAATGTGATCCACAGACAAATTTGTCATTTACCAAACTTCTCTCACCAAAATTTGCCACCATCTTTATTATGACGTCCATTTAATCAATAGTCAGAGGCCATGAGACACAGAAGAAATGGCCTTCTTATGTGATAGAGAAACTGAAATCTTCTTTTGGAGAAAAGGAGATTTCTGGACTTTGATGATAGTAGATCCAAAAGAAACTGGTTGAGGTCTTTTATCAATTTAGAAGGTAGAACCAATCAGAGTTAGAAGCACCCAAGAAGTCCTGAGACTTAAAAGATAAAACACCTTCATATGATCTTAAATGTTTAGCACTATTTTCCCTTCTTGAAGTTGTATTATTACTGACTTCCTTTACCTGAGGTTTTCGCTGACATACAATGAACCAGAAGCAACTTTAGTTTTATTTTCCTGATATTAATAAGCAATCAGTTAGGTTTATAGCAGTGTCTATTAGTGAAAGATCATATTTTCATTTTTGATTACTGATTTTTTAAAGTTTAAGCTAATCACAAGTTTTCATTAAAATTTACCATTAGATCATTACCCTGCTTCTTTAAAACAATAGTTCAGATAAAGTACACCTGCAACATAAAAAGCTTTTGGACTTTTCTTACAATGTTCTTAAAGGACCTTTTTACAAGAAATTTTTAAGAAAATCTTCTAAGAAATGTAAAATACTTTATACCAGCTATTGAAGAATAGTAACGGTGAATTTTATTTTGAGAACCTGACTCAATTTATACATAGAAATAATAGCACTCAATATTTATTCATATTCTTAAATGGGCAAGTTAAAATTGTATTTAATTATATACTCTTAAAATTTTAGATGGTATTTCTTTGGTTTCTTTTTTCAATAAACATTACTTTTAGGGGTGGTAGTTTTGAAGGGAGCAGGGAAGAAATCTTTTTATCAGTAGCTCAATATTCTGGGATCAGAAAACACAATAGTTTTTGTTTTGCTTTTGCTCTTTTTGGGCAGTAATTACCTGATAAGTTTCTCATACTGAGAGCTCTGCAGAATACAGAGTTCTTGCCAGCATCAAAAGGACTTCCTTTTGAGAAGTAACCATATTTCAGTGAAAAAATCCTTGAACTAAAAACTAAGAGACTTGGCTTTCAAATCGGGTTCTGTAATAAACCAGCTGTGTGATCACGGGCAAGTCACCTAACCTTACTGTGTCTTAGTGTCCTTTTCATAAGAGGAGAAGTAAGGCTAGATGATATCTGAAGTCTTTTCTAGTACTAGTATTCAGTGGTTGAATATCCTATATTTTTGTTATGAATGCAGCTCATCTAACTTAAGCACAAGAGAGCAGCTGCTAAAAAGAGCTGATTAGCAACAATTAGGAGTGGCATTTCATTTGTATTGCATATCTTCCCAATTAAAAGCATTTAGTGATTAAAATTACATGCTTGAAATACAGTCTTTAAAAGGAAATATTTTCAAATAAATGAAATCTCTGGGTCAAGGCCAATTTGTATTTTAAACATTTGCATAATATTAAAGAGTTTTGCTGTAGTATAAGGCATGCTTAGCCATTGCAGGTTTTAGAATCTGAAGCGAGACAGAGATAGAGTCAAAGAGCGAGATAGAGAATGCAAGTGCACATGTGAGCACAAGCAAATGAAACAAGTAAAAAAGAGAATTCTGAATTATTATGCATGCTAGTAAAAAATGATTGGTTCCTCCTAGGATGTTTACAGAATTAATCAGATTATATCTTGTGTTTCATTTCTATACTTCACATTAAGTCATATGTTTAAGATTTTCCTTTCTCTCTGAAAGCCAAAAGCTGACTTTTCAAAATCAAGGGAAGAATAGACTAAAAAAATGGAGACCCGAAAAATAGATGTGCTTCACTGTTCTCGTGGATATAACAACCCTGATGTCTTCAATTAAATCTCCTTTGTTCCAGCTTAAAACATTGTGAATTTAAATTAACACTTTACGACATTTCAATCTGAGTGCATATTTCAAATTTTAACGTAATAAAATCATTTGATTGTTCTCTCAGATGGAGAAACCAGAGTAGTGATAGTGAACACAAGGCCAGAAAAAATGAAATGGTATTTATTATATATTTTCTTATAAAAACAAAGTTGGGGGAAGTACACATTAAAACAGAACTTAGTACAAAAATTCTATCATTTTCAAGAATCTGTTCTTAATTTTGAAATCTGACAAAATAGGGAAAAAAAATCAATCACAGAAATTCCTATTCTTTGGACTACCATTTAAAAAAAAGAACCACATGCTATGAATAGTACTGTTCTACAAAATAGGTTTTGCTAAGTCCTAGTGGGAAAAAAAATCCATGTATAATATCTTAAACCTTGTATGTGGCTTTATCAAAATTAACAATACTATTATTAATATTTTAATGTAAACTTATTTCTTCCTAAGAGACATAGTGTTTTCTTACCCAAAGGGAGATGGTGTTTTCTTACCCAAAGAGAGATGGTGTTTTCTTACCTAAAGAGAGATGGTGTTTCCTTACCCAAAGGGAGATGGTGTTTTCTTACCCAAAGAGAGATGGTGTTTTCTCACCCAAAGAGAGATGGTGTTTTCTCACCCAAAGAGAGATGGTGTTTTCTTACACATCACTCTCCTTTCCTTAGTATGACTTTAAAGTAGCGAGGGACTGGCTGACATTAGGGTTATCGGCAGATATGTGACTAACGGCTTGGGACATTTTATTGTAATCCATTTTTTATTGTATTTCCCTTGACAAGGCTACAAATGAATTCTGAAATAAATGTTCTAGAAGTAGTGCATAGACTCTAAAAGGCACCACAGTATTGAATATATAAGCAACAGTTGCTTTTCCCCCTAATAGTTTTAGACAGCCTATAGCAAACCAAGAATTTTTAGTGGAATGAAAGTGAATTTATGATAATACTTATTATATCTGTATTGAGAATATTCAATGTGTATTAAAGTATTTCCTTAGTGTTTTCTAAAACAGCCATTTTATTGTAGTGTTATCCATTTGAATCTATGTTCTTGCATTCCTGTGGCCCAAAGATGTATCAGTAATACTAAGAGAAAAGTGAAAAAAAATTAAATATCAGGTTAGTTATTGATAAATCAAGCAGTGGTGAAAGTCAGAAATAAATTTTGAGTCTTTCCACCAGCATTCCTCGATCTAAAGAGTAAATGGCTTTTAATCAGTTTTAGAACTAGATCTCTTTGGAACTATTTTTAGTACTTACTGGCACTGTATGCATTTTCTGGGCAACTGTACCAGATTTATAGCTCTAAAAGTGCTGTGTTATTTATTGCCTTCCAATAGGCAATGAAGTGGTGTCTTGCACATGCATGTGTCAAAAATGTTAAAGTTTTCTCCAGTTGTCTTGTTAATTCTTTCCCAGGACAATAGACAAAATATATGGCTCTCTATTTGGCAATGAATATCCTTTATCAATTTTTTAAAAGAAAAAAAAACTTCTCTTGCAAATTTCACATCCAACATCAACTTTCTCTTTTTTGATTTTACAAATCTCCACAAAGAATTAAAGTCTCAGAAGGGCTTTATCTTGTTTATTTTAGCAGTTTTTGTCTTGGGTTTGCAATCCTAAAGCTTATTTTTGAATTTAGGAAGAAATATCACTCACAAATGAAGGTTATTAGGATGAGGTTATTAGAAAGTCCATACATTTTTCATGACCTCAACCTGAATTGGCACTTTTGTATACTAGAGATCAATGCCATTTCAGATATCAGAATCCAAAAATCAACATATCATGTGTAAATGATTCTTGCATGCAGTTCTTATATATTATTTTCTTCCCTGATTTTTGTTTTCTTTGTTGATCACACGTATCCGTGTTTGACAGATGTAGGGTTTTGCATCTTTTCAATAATGCACTGGCTACATACCACACTTAGTATTTGTCATAATTTATTCTGAAAATCAAGTTTTACAACTAGGTTGTAAAATTTTACTAGCAATTGACACTTTGGCTTTTATTACATTTTTGAACAGAAAAGAAGTAGTTGTTTCAGGAAATAATTTTGAAATTGTTTTCTGGACAGTTTTATTAAAATAAAAGACAAAAAAAAAAACCCAAGTCAACAATTATAGAGTATTCCTGTGCCTATACAGACTGAGAATTAACAACAACCAAATTCTGCTCTTCTTTTATCTTTTAAAATAAGAGCCACTACTTTAATTCGTGCATTTATTTATCTAACAAATGTTTTCTGAATGTGTTCACATATGCCAGGTGCTATATCTTTAGATATTATACATTTAAACAAAGCTTCATGCCATATTACTTAGTATATGAAGGCGTACCTAGAGATATACACATAGAGAGTTTGCCCCTATACACAGAAATAAATAATTTTAAGTGGATTTGGAATTCAGGGTAGTGCAGGTCAATTCTTCCAAACTTTTAACTTTTTTGTATATAAGGATGTGTCGATGCTGAAGATAGGGAGATGATGAATTAAGGAGCCATATGTTTTATCTTCTTTTTCATTTTTCTCACTGTCCTGCTGTCATGGTCAAACATATGGCAAAAGGCTTCAGTTTTTTAATTGCTCATGTGGATGTGAGCTCAGTTGAACTAACTACATTTGGGGTAGGACTGATGTTGGATTCATGTGTTAGTTATTCTTTATTCCTGAAGGAGATTGAACAGAAAACAGTCTTGGAATCATCATTCAGTAATAATAGTAAGCTCATGTTGGTACTATACTTTGACGTCAACTTAGATATCTCACCAAAATTTTGTTGAAAATTATTTATGTCTTAACCTGTGGGCAACTCCTGTTCAAATCCCGTGGACAATATTAAGTTTAAATATGTTTGCTCAGCAAGTCTTTGTAGAACTCTAAAAATCTGGAAAAATGGGGGTTATGCATGCAATCACCTGGCTAATCATAGATTCTTTTTAAAGAAAAACATGATGTCTTAGGATAGTACAGTTGAATAGAATTTGTGCAATAATGAAAATGTTCTACATCTGCAGTGTCCAACGTAGTAGCTACTGGCCACATGGAGCTGTTGAGAACTTAAAATATGGGTAGTGCAAGTAGGAACTGATGTTTTAAATTAATCTAATTCATTTAATTTAAATCTAAATTTAAATGCTCCTTTGGGGCTAATTACCATCATATTGAACAGAGTAGTTGTGAAACACAGAATAGCAATGGTGACATTATCCATTAACTAATATGTACATTTCATTATCACCTTGAGAGTTAGAAAAATATATTTTTAAGATTATTGCCATTTCACATAAAGTAATTAAAAGACAGTGAGTATGCTGATCTTGGATTTTTCATCTGACACAAGCTTGCCTTAATTTGCTTTGGAAAGCAAAGGCCAACTCAAAATTCAGACAAACACATAAAAGTAAAACCTAAATATATAAACAAGAAATGCACAAACATAAATACATAAATTTTAAAATTAAAACTTACATATTCGTTTTCCCAGATGTATTGTATTCATAAATTGGATAGTTGGCTCCGAAACTTAAGAACTTTGGAACATTTTCCTTGTTCTTTTTATATTATATTATCTTTGTTTCTGTTTATGCAACCTCTAATAATAACTTACAATTTCCCCTTATAGCTCTTATTAAAAATGTAGTGATTCTCTTAATGTAAATCCGTTAGTGTCAATACCATCATTAAATCCATAGTTATTGATTTTTCTTTCACCTTAACTAGAACTTACCTTTTATCACATTAGTAAAATATGTTTACTCACCACCATAACCTTGGCATCTAGGAGAATGCTCTCACTATATTAGCCACTCAGTATTGGAATGTCAAGGATTAAAAGAATAGTATTAAGTGCCATGGATTTTATGAAGTACAATTTAGAAACTATTTTTTCTACCCATAAATAGACATTTTGGATTTGAACCTTCCTAAAAACCTCTTAGAATATCATTACAAAAATTAAATTATCATTAATCACTAAATTTGTTTAGATCAAATTATAGTAGTATGTTATGGTATTTACTTACATTCAATGTTGTCATGAAATTCTATTTTTTCTTAAAATATGCAGTATATCAAATAATAGATTTTGCTTGCTAATTTTCAAATATAAATACGTATAACATGAAAATGTTTTTCTTACTATATAATCAAGGAAAAGCCAGGTTGATTATTGCTCTATCTGAGTAAAATAGGAATAGAATGCTCACGTTTATTGTATGAATTAAAAACAAAATAACTAATATACTTTGGTTAGCTCTTGTGAAATGTTTTTTTAAATAACGTTGGAACAAACTAATGATTTTAATTAATATTTCTGAAATGCCATCTTAAATTTTGTAATAAACATCTAATTCCTCCACAAAGATATATTATGGCACTGCATTTGAATAAAAGTATAAGTGAATCTCAGCACCCCCCCAAAATCTGAAAGTTTGCAGAAATATCTTCAAGTAATTCATAAGAGGAAAAAATGAGATGCATTTGGATATTGTTTAAGACTATATATAGGCAATTATAAGACAGGTAAATTTTTTAAAGATAATGTGATTGAAATACATTTATAAACTGATCATATATTCTAGCAGTCTCTGAAAACCTGGTATTATTTATTAGGTTCTAATTTTTAGGATCTTGTTTTAGACAGTGGTATGACAAAACTATAACCTCAGATCTTATCCTGTTCTTTTATGATACAGCACATAAATGAGAGATCAATAACCAATCCATGCCACTTGTCCAGAACATGTATGTTAAAAATGTAGTAGAGAATTAAAAATTATTTAGATGTACGTGTGTGTGTGTGTGTGTGTGTGTGTGTGTGTGTGTGTATCTGTTCATAAATCACCCATGAATAGGAATCTTAAAGTCCTCCTCCGATCTTTTCTTCATACCCTCCAGTACCTTTTTATCTCATTCATCTCTGTCATAATGCTGCAAGTAACACTGGACAGGAATCCTCCTCTCTCATTTCTCCTCGGTGAGCTGGCAAGATCACTACGTTTGTGTGTAGGGATCATCTTATTGTAGTACAGGGAGGGGATTTTTTTTTTTTTTTTTTTTTTTTTTTTTTTTTTGAGACGAGTCTCACTCTGTCGCCCAGGCTGGAGTGCAGTGGCGCCATCTCGGCTCACTGCAAGCTCCGCCTCTGGGGTTCATGCCATTCTCCTGCCTCAGCCTCCTGAGCAGCTGGGACCACAGGCACCCACCACCACGCCAGGCTATTTTTTTTTTTTTTTGTATTTTTTAAGTAGAGACGGGGTTTCCCCGTGTTAGCCAGGATGGTCTCGATCTCCTGACCTCGTGATCCGCCCGCCTCGGCCTCCCAAAGTGCTGGAATTACAGGCGTGAACCACCGCTCCCGGCCGAGGGGATTGTTTTTTAAATATTCCCATACTGTGACTTTGTGGGCATGAATTGAAAATAGGTCCTATCCGAAGCTACCTTTTTCAATTTGAGATCTTGACCTGTGAATTTTAGTTCCTTGTGCTTGCATGTTAAAAAAAAAAAAAAAAAAAAGTAAGAAAATAACATTGCATTGTTAATCTCTGAGATAATTTCATTTTAACTGTGTGTTCCTATGGGAAATATTGAAATTCTTTGTATTTTATACAAATTTATATTTTAACCAGTTTGTGTATTTTTTTTCCATCTGCTAAAGGTTTTAGCTGTATTTATTAGATATGATACTTATGATGTTGTCTTGGAGGAATATTTTTATTTCGGTGCTTACTTTGGTACTGAAAAAGCATCTTAGGCAACTGAAATCTACAGTAAAAAATATTTTAATTCATTTGGAATAATCTTGGATAATTCACTTACAGCTTCATTTATCTTGCAAAAATTTAGTGACAATTCTTTTTAAAATTCTATATACTTTTTTCTTTTGAAAACTTAAATAGTTCGAAAACCAAACATTGTGTGTTCTCACTGATATATGGGTGCTAAGTTATGAGGACGCAAAGGCATAAGAATGATACGATGGACATTGGGGACTTTGGGGAAAGAGAAGGAAGGTGGTGAGGGATAAAAAACTACAAATATGGTGGAGTGTATATTGCTCCAGTGATGGGTGCACCAAAATCTCACAAATCACCACTAAAGAATTTACTCATGTAACCAAATACCACCTGAACCCCAATAACTTATGGAAAAATGAAATAAAAAATTAATTAATTAAAAAAACTGAAATAGTTCACATAATTTAAAAAAACTTAAATAGCTCACATAAATAAGTTACATATATTACCATAAAATGCTACAATCTGAAGCCTCCTGTCCCCAGAACATCTTCTAGTACAGTTCTCTAATTTTACAAATATCAAGAAAAGTAAAGTAACTTGCTTGTAATCACGATATTTGTTATAGGCAGAGTTGAGACTTAGAACTGAAGTCTTCTGGCACCTATTTCTGAACTGATCCCATTATTTTATGTGGCTTCAAGAAACTGAAAATTGTTCTCATTAGATAAGCTAACATAAGTTAAATTATATTTTATTATTCACATTAATATTAATATATTAATTTATATTAACATAAGTTAATTCTGTTTCATTGCATGTTTTCCAGAGTCAAAACATTTTTGGCCTCGATGTCATTGAAACACCAGAAGGAGACAAGATGCCACAACTGATTGTTCAAAAGGAGTTAGATAGGGAAGAGAAGGATACCTATGTGATGAAAGTAAAGGTTGAAGATGGTGGCTTTCCTCAAAGATCCAGTACTGCTATTTTGCAAGTAAGTGTTACTGATACAAATGACAACCACCCAGTCTTTAAGGAGACAGAGATTGAAGTCAGTATACCAGAAAATGCTCCTGTAGGCACTTCAGTGACACAGCTCCATGCCACAGATGCTGACATAGGTGAAAATGCCAAGATCCACTTCTCTTTCAGCAATCTAGTCTCCAACATTGCCAGGAGATTATTTCACCTCAATGCCACCACTGGACTTATCACAATCAAAGAACCACTGGATAGGGAAGAAACACCAAACCACAAGTTACTGGTTTTGGCAAGTGATGGTGGATTGATGCCAGCAAGAGCAATGGTGCTGGTAAATGTTACAGATGTCAATGATAATGTCCCATCCATTGACATAAGATACATCGTCAATCCTGTCAATGACACAGTTGTTCTTTCAGAAAATATTCCACTCAACACCAAAATTGCTCTCATAACTGTGACGGATAAGGATGCGGACCATAATGGCAGGGTGACATGCTTCACAGATCATGAAATTCCTTTCAGATTAAGGCCAGTATTCAGTAATCAGTTCCTCCTGGAGAATGCAGCATATCTTGACTATGAGTCCACAAAAGAATATGCCATTAAATTACTGGCTGCAGATGCTGGCAAACCTCCTTTGAATCAGTCAGCAATGCTCTTCATCAAAGTGAAAGATGAAAATGACAATGCTCCAGTTTTCACCCAGTCTTTCGTAACTGTTTCTATTCCTGAGAATAACTCTCCTGGCATCCAGTTGATGAAAGTAAGTGCAACGGATGCAGACAGTGGGCCTAATGCTGAGATCAATTACCTGCTAGGCCCTGATGCTCCACCTGAATTCAGCCTGGATCGTCGTACAGGCATGCTGACTGTAGTGAAGAAACTAGATAGAGAAAAAGAGGATAAATATTTATTCACAATTCTGGCAAAAGATAATGGGGTACCACCCTTAACCAGCAATGTCACAGTCTTTGTAAGCATTATTGATCAGAATGACAATAGCCCAGTTTTCACTCACAATGAATACAAATTCTATGTCCCAGAAAACCTTCCAAGGCATGGTACAGTAGGACTAATCACTGTAACTGATCCTGATTATGGAGACAATTCTGCAGTTACGCTCTCCATTTTAGATGAGAATGATGACTTCACCATTGATTCACAAACTGGTGTCATCCGACCAAATATTTCATTTGATAGAGAAAAACAAGAATCTTACACTTTCTATGTAAAGGCTGAGGATGGTGGTAGAGTATCACGTTCTTCAAGTGCCAAAGTAACCATAAATGTGGTTGATGTCAATGACAACAAACCAGTTTTCATTGTCCCTCCTTACAACTATTCTTATGAATTGGTTCTACCGTCCACTAATCCAGGCACAGTGGTCTTTCAGGTAATTGCTGTTGACAATGACACTGGCATGAATGCAGAGGTTCGTTACAGCATTGTAGGAGGAAACACAAGAGATCTGTTTGCAATCGACCAAGAAACAGGCAACATAACATTGATGGAGAAATGTGATGTTACAGACCTTGGTTTACACAGAGTGTTGGTCAAAGCTAATGACTTAGGACAGCCTGATTCTCTCTTCAGTGTTGTAATTGTCAATCTGTTCGTGAATGAGTCAGTGACCAATGCTACACTGATTAATGAACTGGTGCGCAAAAGCATTGAAGCACCAGTGACCCCAAATACTGAGATAGCTGATGTATCCTCACCAACTAGTGACTATGTCAAGATCCTGGTTGCAGCTGTTGCTGGCACCATAACTGTCGTTGTAGTTATTTTCATCACTGCTGTAGTAAGATGTCGCCAGGCACCACACCTTAAGGCTGCTCAGAAAAACATGCAGAATTCTGAATGGGCTACCCCAAACCCAGAAAACAGGCAGATGATAATGATGAAGAAAAAGAAAAAGAAGAAGAAGCATTCCCCTAAGAACCTGCTGCTTAATGTTGTCACTATTGAAGAAACTAAGGCAGATGATGTTGACAGTGATGGAAACAGAGTCACACTAGACCTTCCTATTGATCTAGAAGAGCAAACAATGGGAAAGTACAATTGGGTAACTACACCTACTACTTTCAAGCCTGACAGCCCTGATTTGGCCCGACACTACAAATCTGCCTCTCCACAGCCTGCCTTCCAAATTCAGCCTGAAACTCCCCTGAATTTGAAGCACCACATCATCCAAGAACTGCCTCTCGATAACACCTTTGTGGCCTGTGACTCTATCTCCAATTGTTCCTCAAGCAGTTCAGATCCCTACAGCGTTTCTGACTGTGGCTATCCAGTGACAACCTTCGAGGTACCTGTGTCCGTACACACCAGACCGGTAGGTATCCAAGTTTCTAACACAACTTTCTAACTATTTTTTTATTATTATTTTCAGTTGATGTAGAACTTTACAAAATCTATTGACTTCAAAGAGGGATCAAAACAATCATATTCTACAGATGTACCCAATAGATATATGGATTCAATTAAGTTTGGTAGAAGATGAGAACAAAATAACTACTGATTTAGGAAAATTGGATGCAGAATAATAATTATAGTAGGGGCAATTTTGTCTGTAGATGGCAGTATGACAATTCTTGCTAGAAAATATATTGAAAAAAACTTCAACACAAAGGGTTGTAGCACTGTCCTCAGTACCATTGTGGGCATGAGGATCAGAATAGTCTGGGCTAGATACATCACATTAAAGCTTTTCAGAATCTGATAAATAGCTCTAAATACTAATGATATTGAGAAGCCTAGCTTCACTTGGGAAAATCTGTGGCTGTTCACAGAAATTCAGCACCAAGATATTCCCCCCATACTCTACCAGGCCTTCAGGTCCTCATAAAGAAAAGTGTCGTTTTCAGATTAGGAACTCAAAATTATTTTGGTGCATCAAATCTACAGTAACACAATATAACAAGAATGGGATTAGAAAAATGAAAGCCTACTCATTCTCATCTTTAAGCCAGAGAATGAAATATATATGAGGTCTCTACTTTAGATAGCTATTTAAATATTTGCATATTTATGCAAGGTATTTTGAGCCCTTCAGAAGACATTCTTAAAAGATAATAACTTTTGGAAAATAAAATGCTTGCTTTCTCTAATGGGCACAAAGAAAACTGTGGGCATATTAAGACCCAAGAAATCTGTGCACAATAACTTAAAACCCAATACATTTATGAAAGCAAGAGTTTATCCAGTGCCTTTTATCAGTGTTCCATGAAGAAATGAATACAAATTTATCCAGAAACTCTTAAATGTTGAATGATTTAAATATAATTGTTCCCTTTAAAAATACAAGCAATGGAATTTACCCACATATTTTTCTCGAAGTCATGCTACATGTTGAGTTTATTATTTTGTTTGTGTTAACTCTTAAAAAAGTATTAATCTTAGTTTCAGGGAATAAAGTCTTTTGAACACCTATTCAGGCTTAACAAAATAGTAGCAATGTGAAAATCAAAACTGATTTTCTTTCACCAAAAGTTCGAGATATTAAAGAAGGCTACTGGATTCAAGATAGCAATGCAAATAGTTTACCATAACTTTGGAAATGGGTTTAAGAATGGAGGTCATTCAAGCATAAGCGCAGTTATATAATACGATAACATTAACTTTTCTCTCTGAATCACACAGTGAACGTAAGGTACTAATTCAGATGTGGGTGCATTTTTGTTACAGTAGGTACACAATTAAATGCTGTTTCAAAAGGTAAACTAGAACCCTAGTGTCTGTATAGAGAGCTTCTGTTAGACTTTAAAAGAATTTACGCTGCAGTTGTTATTTCTACAGTTTAGATGAATCCCATATTTTACATAGTTAGTGGATCTGGGATGGGCAACAAATGTTAAGAGATGTCGAACATCTCCACAGGGTGTGTTTTTGTTTATATTTAACCATTAAAAAGGGCACTCTCATTTTCAAATTCTTATTGCTATTCTGCTTATTGGATAAGTTTCTCAACATAAAAGTATCTTTTATGACTAACACTACATGATTTGGGTATAATAACATTTTTTCCTGGGTTTAATTTGTGACTTTCTTTAAGAAATGTACAAAGAGTGGGTTTGTGAATTACGTATGTAGATCATCATTTTTAACAGAGTTAATGAAGTTAATTAATAAAGCAAGTTCTGGTTTCAGTGCTTTTTGAAGGCACAGAGATATTTTATGAGCTAGACTGATTTTACTTGAGTTTATGAACACATAGCAAGGAGGGCATGGATGAAGAACAAAAAACTGAAGTATTTTTCAAATATCCTCACTTTTTTGTTTTTTTAAAAATATTTTGTAATCCTAAAAAGTCATTAAAAATAATAAACTTTTTCCATGACACATTTTATATCATATAACTAAGAGACATTTTCTGAATCATAAGAATTAGTCAAAATACAAAAAAGTAAATGCTAATGAGAATCAGTTATTGGTTGTTATTAGGTTTTTATTAACTGAAAGGACTATCTTAGAATCATTGAATTAGCAGATGACTTATTATTTCACAGCTTAAAAAGTAAATAAATTATATATTTTATTATTGGTTCACAGTTGTTTCATATTCGTTACTAAATATCTTCAAGACATGAATTGGTGAACTTAGGCAGACTAATATGATACTAAAAATAATTTGAATCTTTACATTTTGTGCTACATTTGCAATGTTCTTTACCTTTTCTATATGCTCTTCAATTTGTGTTTAATGTTAGGGTGTTCACTGATGTTGCAGAATGCTAGCAAAATAACTGAGCACTGAAAAAGAAATTATGTATTTAAAAATTCAAATGCAGTAGGTGTCTTCTTTTTAAAGAAATATCATACAAAATGGGAGAAGTGACAGCCAATACAATACAAATTCATTGTTCCTTAAGGAAATACTTAGAGTGGAATAAAATATTACTGTTAGCAGAAGGCAGAATTATTCCAATTTATTTTAAACAGTGAGAAATGCATTTTCAAAATGAGGGTTTGGGGAATATTTACAGTTAGTTCATTACTCATCTGTATAGAAACAGGAAAGTGGAAAATAAAATGTTCTAGTAGACTATAAGAGACAAGGGAATTCATCTGAAATTTTATGTTTTATAAAGGGAATCAAATACTTTCTAGTTCTCATAATTTCTCATTCTCCTTGATCATTCTATAGGTTGTTTTTCTGACTTGGATGTTCTGAAAATATATGGAACATTTATTAGATAGGAGTACGTATATTGCATAAAGCCATCTATACCTGGGGAATATAATGGTCGTCTTTGGCATAAGTTTCTACATGTATTATGGAAGGCATTTTTGTATACATTGTAGTAGAAATTTTAAAAACATGAAATTTGAGAGGATGAGGCTACACATTATCTTCTATTAACACCTTCCAAAGCAAGCAGATAGCAATTGGTTGTTATGACACTAGAGAAACCATAAGTATAAATAATTATTTTAAAATCACTTTTGATCAATGTCATATAAAAGAGATAAACTGCCAAAACCAAGTCTTGCTTAATACAATTCACCCATTAAATATTGTGAAGACTATACATTTTAAAAAAAATAGAGAGGAGAATAAAAATGAAAGTAGAATTTTTGAAGGTCTTCCAGTCACTGTCTAAGACAAGTATTTGGGGTACATCATTTTCCAAAAAACAAACAAACAAACAAAAAACCTTACAAGTTTCTGTGATTTGAGTTGGAATAGTCTTTCAGTTTCAGAAATGAGGTGAATGAATGGTGAAAACTTTAGACAGTTCTAATTCATGCATGAAACCATCCTGTAGATATGATACATGGATTTGAAATGATAATTGCAGTCTGAGTTAGCTTGGAATAGGATTGGTATTCGCTATTGTAAAATTCAGTAACTTTGATTCTGCATTTATATTTTGGTAATGCAAATTTTAACCATGAAGCATGCTTGGCAAATGAAACTCCTAGAACACAACCATCTGATTTTGATAACCTGTTATTTTTCTTGTCCTAGACTGATTCCAGGACATGAACTATTGAAATCTGCAGTGAGATGTAACTTTCTAGGAACAACAAAATTCCATTCCCCTTCCAAAAAATTTCAATGATTGTGATTTCAAAATTAGGCTAAGATCATTAATTTTGTAATCTAGATTTCCCATTATAAAAGCAAGCAAAAATCATCTTAAAAATGATGTCCTAGTGAACCTTGTGCTTTCTTTAGCTGTAATCTGGCAATGGAAATTTAAAATTTATGGAAGAGACAGTGCAGCGCAATAACAGAGTACTCTCATGCTGTTTCTCTGTTTGCTCTGAATCAACAGCCATGATGTAATATAAGGCTGTCTTGGTGTATACACTTATGGTTAATATATCAGTCATGAAACATGCAATTACTTGCCCTGTCTGATTGTTGAATAATTAAAACATTATCTCCAGGAGTTTGGAAGTGAGCTGAACTAGCCAAACTACTCTCTGAAAGGTATCCAGGGCAAGAGACATTTTTAAGACCCCAAACAAACAAAAAACAAAACCAAAACACTCTGGTTCAGTGTTTTGAAAATATTGACTAACATAATATTGCTGAGAAAATCATTTTTATTACCCACCACTCTGCTTAAAAGTTGAGTGGGCCGGGCGCGGTGGCTCACGCCTGTAATTCCAGCACTTTGGGAGGCCGAGGCGGGTGGATCACGAGGTCAGGATATTGAGACCATCCTGGCTAACATGGTGAAACCCCATCTCCACTAAAAATACAAAAAATTAGCTGGGCGTGGTGGCGGGCGCCTGTAGTCCCAGCTACTCGGGAGGCTGAGGCAGGAGAATGGCGTGAACCCGGGAGGCGGAGCTTGCAGTGAGCCGAGATGGCGCCACTGCACTCCAGCCTGGGTGACAGAGCAAGACTCTGTCTCAAAAAGAAAAAAATGTTCAGTGATAGAAAATAATTTTACTAGGTTTTTATGTTGATTGTACTCATGCTGTTCCACTCCTTTTAATTATTAAAAAGTTATTTTTGGCTGGGTGTGGTGGCTCATACCTGTAATCCCAGCACTTTGGGAGGCCGAGGCGGGTGGATCACCTGAGGTCAGGAGTTCAAGACCAGTCTGGCCAACATGGCGAAACCCCGTCTCTTCTAAAAAATACAAAAATTAGCCGGGCGTGGTAATGGGCGCCTGTAATCCCAGCTACTCGGGAGGCTGAGGCAGGAGAATTGCTTGAACCCAGGAGGCGGAAGTTGCAGTGAGCCGAGATCGTGCCGTTGCACTCCAGCGTGGGCGACAAAGCGAGACTCCGTCTCAAAAAAAAAAAAAAAAAAAGAAAGAAAGAAAGAAAGAAAAAAAGTTATTTTTGTTGTAATAATGTTTTCTTTTTCCATAAATATTTTCAAAGAAAGAGGTCCTTTCTATTTTTATCTGTCAAAAGGAGAATGTAAAGTTCTTTATACTCCCTGATATTTTGAAAAAAAGTATATTGATATTTCTTATATTACGAAACATAATTCCAGTCATATGAGGGTGGAAACAACGATTGAGATAGGAGATTTCAAAAAGATTTTATCTCAACTTTGAAACTACCTAAGAAAAATGTGAGGTTGCTAGAGTAACTTATTTAAATAAGTCTGTTTTATTTCTCTAGCATTAAATTACTAAATATACATCATTGCTTTGAGTAATTTTTCCTTTAAAATGAATTCACTTTTCACAGTAAGTCAACTAACTCATTTCCTACACGAATGAGACAATGCCTCATATTTTGTGTACATTATATTTTATTGAGGAAAGAATGACATGTTCCAATTTTATGCTATATTCTTAAACTATTTATGACTTACTAACAGTACTAACAGAATTTTTTAAAATCATGATTTATTGGGATAAAAAGGGAGTACAAAGGACCCTTATAATGATTACATAGCATATGCTTCCTGAATTTTAATTCAAATGTTAATTATGTATCATTTTACCTTTAAAAGTGTGAATAGGATTTGGTCTGTTTTGTATGTACATTAACGTTAGTGTATTATTTGAAGTGTTCTTTGATGTGAATGTATTTAGAAAAGGTTTATGCTCTGTTCAGTATTTCAAATTAGTGTAATTCTTGGATATTTAATATATAGGTAATATTTTAAACAAGTTTCTGTTAAAATTTAGTGTTCCCATTAACTCGGTACAGAATCCCTTGTATTTCCAATATGTCAGGTTCCATGAATGTACATGCTATCTGGTTGTTTAAACATTACTTAGTTGATTATAATGACTGTGAGTATAACTACTTTTACTGCTTATGGTAGATATCATGTGAGTTACAATATTATATTACATACTCTTAAACAACTGTTGTAGAAAAGTTGCTTGAAATTAAAATACACACTTGTACAAGTTATTCACATAGAACAAGTTTACAGTTCCTCCCCTTTTATTCTTGATAAATATTTCAGTTTAGTTCAAATCATTCCAAGGAATGTAAAAATTGAGTCAACTTATTATATTCCTAAAATCAGTGCCCTGCAGGTAGTAAGATATACCTAGAGTGGAGGTTTCCAAAATCTACAGTCTCAATTTAATTTTGAATAAAATGACGAAGCCCAGAAAAGTGAATCAGAAGTTGAAGTGTCCCATAATAAGCTGTCATGGCTTCATGATCATTTGTGTATGTAATTATTATAAAAATGCATTTGCATTTTTATTGCTTGTGTCATGACTAGCCTGGCCTTTCCTTTCCTTTTCTGCACACACTGAACTAAGGGAGAATACCTTGTTTTTCTTCCATTTCAGTGAACCTTTCCTTCATAACTGCAATGAGTAAAGGTCCTAATCACTCCTTTGTATATATGAAGATGAAAATTCCTTGAAATAATTATCCAGAATTTCTTTAAAAGCATTCCTCAATGGTTTTATGGGTGCTGTATTTGAAGAAGATTAAAATAGAAACTTTATTTTAAAGCTATGACTCCATCTCTTAGAATGCAGCGTCTCTGAGAAAGGAACTTCTAAACTGACTTCTGCTTTGGGCTAAAATATTTACCCATATAAGCCAATGATAGTATAGAGATTTAACAGTATTTAAATTTGGGCCATAGATGAAAATGAATTCTACTTTTGACTAGTAACTATTCTTGATCCATCCTTTGCTTTTGTTTGAGAGAATATTATCTCTATTTGAGAACAACATGGAAGGCATTGAAACTAGTTTTCCACAAAGGCCAGAGGACAAAAATATTTATTTCCTTAGTTGATTCCTTATCAGTTGACCTGGTCGCACCTTTAATTTAATTGATATTATTATTACGTTTGCCTTGCAAGTTCTCAGATATCTCCAACCTTTTGTGTTGTCATTCATCGACTACGGGAATATTCTCAATGAAATGTCCTTGATGGTCTCTCTGGTTCTTATTCTAGTCATGAAAAGGAAAAGACAAAAAGATAGCAAATCTTAAAACTAGTCATCGGCCGGGTGTGGTGGCTCACGCCTGTAATCCCAGCACTTTGGGAGGCCGAGGCGGGTGGATCACGAGGTCAGGAGATCGAGACCATCCTGGCTAACACAGTGAAACCCCGTCTCTACTAAAAATACAAAAAATTAGCCGGGCGTGGTGGCGGGCGCCTGTAGTCCCAGCTACTTGAGAGGCTGAGGCAGGAGAATGGCGTGAACCCGGGAGGCGGAGCTTGCAGTGAGCCGAGATCGCGCCACTGCACTCCAGCCTGGGCGACAGAGCCAGAGGCTGTCTCAAAAAAAAAAAAAAAACAAAAAAAAACTAGTCATCATAGATAAATAAAAGGAACTTTTAGTGAACTTTGTCCATTAAATTATAAGTAGCTTACCTGATGAGCTACAGTGTACTGTATACTTTCTCCCCTGCAAGCACTCAAAGAAATATTATTTGATCAAAATCTATAGTGCATAAATTAAACAAAAAATACTGAAATATATTCTCATTTTATTTTAATTATGAAAGTTTATTTTTAATGATATGATATTTAAGCTATTATATTTCTCACTTTTTTATTTTCAATGATTTAAATGTAAAAATTATAAAACAATTTTAATCTCATTCATTAATTCATCTTTCATGTATAAGTCTGTTTTCTCTGTTGACCACCCTGTCCACATTATGAATGAAAATATGTATATACTTGGCCGGGCGTGGTGGCTTATGCCTGTAATCCCAGTACTTTGGGAGGCCAAGGCGGGAGGATCACGAGGTCAGGAGATCGAGACCATCCTGGCTAACACAGTGAAACCTCGTCTCTACTAAAAATACAAAAAATTAGCCGGGCGTGGTGGCGGGCGCCTGTAGTCCCAGCTACTCGGGAGGCTGAGGCAGGAGAATGGCACGAACCCGGGAGGCGGAGCCTGCAGTGAGCCGAGATGGCGCCACTGCACTCCAGCCTGGGCGACAGAGCTAGACTCCATCTCAAAAAAAAAAAAAAAAAAAAAGAAAAGAAAAGAAAAGAAAATATATATATACTTTAGAATAATTTTTAGAAGTTGAGTTTATATTCAATCAATATTTACTAACCTTGTCATTTCACCATGAAATACTAACTGCATCATTTTGCTGTTTTGTCACCTGCACTCCTCACTGTTGAATTCCATGTTGTAATTGTGTATCTAGCTAGATGTGATGTGCAGCCTGAGTGTAACAGAAGCACTACAGGACAAGCAGACCTTGAGTAATCTTATATAAATCTAAGCCACATTCCATAAATGCTTCTTGTAGGTGCTTTTGTGTAATAAATGTATTTTCTTGGCTTTTATGAAGCTTAGTTTGTGTTTATTTTAAATATGACTTAGCTTCCTAGAATATTCAAAGATTCTGTGATAATACAAAGCTATATTTCTTGCATATAATTAGTATTTTTAGAAAGAACTACAGTGCATTTTTTCATACATCGTGCGTGTTCATACATGACATCTTTGGTTTAATGTATTTAGAATTAGGAGTTGACTTTTAAAATTCTAGAGTAGCCATAGGTTTCTATTTTTATTGTACGTGTGATACACATTTGTTGTAGAAAAATCTAGAAAATTGTATAAAGTTTTTAGATGAAGAATTTTAAAATTATTTGTTTTTATTTCAAGCTATAGCAGTGAGTTCTTTATAACAGTAATTCTGTTTGAAGGCTATATAACTTTTTGAAGTGGTGCATTTTAAAATTATAGAATTATGCTTATTGTTTTATAAACTATACATCCAGGACTTTTTACATGTATTGAAGACTGATTTATTTATTAAACATATTGTTTATTTTTATAGATGTATGATTGGACAAATTTATGTAATAACATACCTTGATTAGTTGATAGTGTAATACAGAGGCATGTTACATATCTCCATCATGAGACTAAACTCCCCTGAGTAAAAATATCAAGTCTTGATGAAAAAGCTTTTATACTTTAAAAAAATACCATCTAATGTTTTCCAAAAGTTCCCTTAGAACAACCTAGTTACATAATTATTTCCCAGAATTTTCAGAACTCTTTTAATTTTCCTATATTCTAGATATTTGCAACTGAAATTGTTTTAAATGTTCCTTTTGAAATAGTTAATTACATTTAATTATCCATACATACACAAATATATCCAATTAATAATAAAACGTTTTTGTCAAGTGAAAAAAATCACAAATCACATTTCATTAGATTTCAGGTAGTCAAATTGACATAATCATGAAAATGAACTATTCCAATAGATTTTCTAGAAATATTTGTACTTTATCCCTTATCCTAGAACCTTATATGTACCAATTATATATTGATTTACTTCATAAAATGTTACTGTCTTTTGAATACAGTTGACTTTTAAAAAAATTTTCAGTGGCCAGGCGCAGTAACTCTCATGCCTGTAATCCCAGCACTTTGGGAGGCCAAAGCAGGTGGATCACTTGAGCTCAGGAGTTTCAGCCCAGCCTGGGCAACATGGTTGAAACCCTGTCTCTATCAAAAATGCAAAAACTTAGCCGGGTTTGGTGGTGCATATCTGTGGTCTCAGCTACTTGTGAGGCTGAAATGGGAGAATCTCTTGAGTGGCGGGGGTTGTGGGGGAGGTTGCAGTGAGCCTAGATCACGCCACTGCACTCCAGCCTGGGTGACAGAGTGAGATTCCATCTCAAAAAAATTTTTTAAAATAAATAAATAAAAACATTTTCATTCTTTTTATCTTAAAACTTGGAAGAAACATTAGATACAATAATACTTTCATTAGTCAATTAGAGAAAACTTTAAGTAATAGGCTTTGACTATTCAGTAGTAGTGAAAAGTAAAACAAATATTGAACTCTAAAGAAAAATGTTATTTACAGAAATCTATAAAATAAACTTTAAAATGTATTTACTTATTATATATCAGTTCTAACCTTAATTACAAAATCAATGCAGAGCACCATTTCAATGATATATTATAACTAAAGAGAACTGATCATAAACAACTGTTACATTATCCAAAAATATTTTCAGTAATTCAAACATGCAACTTGAATAGTTGTTGAGTGACACAAACTTGAAGTAACTAAAATTATTTTTTTAAATGCACTGGCTCTTTTGACATGTAAATACAGAAATAGTCTCATATTCAAGGATGGAACAAATACACAAAAATGGAATTTCATGGACTCTCAACACTAGTTTGTGACCTCTGAAATGAGAGACCATATTTTATTATTATTTTTATTTATTTCATCTCTTGTTATTCAAAACTATGAATTGAGTGTATTTTTTGCAGAAAATTATACTCATCATTTATGATGCTCAGATTAAATAATTACTTTTTTGTTTTGTTTTGTTTTGCTTTTTAAGACATAGTCTTGCTCTGTCTCCCAGGCTGGAGTGCAGTGGCCTGATCTCAGCTCACTGCAACCTCCGCCTCCTGGGTTCAAGAGATTCTCCTGTCTCAGCCTCCTGAGGGACTATAGTCATGTGCCACCACACCCGGCTAATTTTTGTATTTTTAGTAGAAACGGGGTTTCGCCATTTTGACCAGGCTGTTCTCAAACTCCTGACCTCAGGTGATCCACCTGCCTCAGCCTCCCAAAGTGCTGGGATTACAGGCGTGAGCCAGCGCACCTGGCCAAATAATTAGTTTTTTTACACAAATTTAATTATCCAAAGAAACTGCTGAGTTATCTTCCAGATTGTTATCATGACTGTGTTTACATGATACCAAAACATATGGAGGCAAAATAGAATTTTTTACTACATATAGGGATATTTTGCTGACCTGACAGAATTATTTGACTACATAAAGACACAGAATTTAGTACTACAGAATGATATTGTAAATAGTTTCATTTTCGATAGAAAAAAGAGTTTTACATGCTATATAAAGTTGTCATTATCTGAATCTAGAATAACTGATAACAGTTAACAACAGAATTCCACACAGTGCTGCAATTCAATTTTACATTTATACATTTTAGTTGTGTATAAAGACATACACTTATTTATTTCAAAATGCACACAAATTAAAGAAATGAGAGGGAATGTACACTTAAATCTTTTTAGGTGTCTGAACTGAAAGATAGATGTCTAGAAGTTAATATACCTAATTGTGTGTCTAGAGGAAATGTCATATTAATTTGATGTTTAAGCAGTTCTAATGTATTGGTATTAAAATGGGTTAGTGTATGTGTGAGCACAGATATGTTTGCATATATGTGTGCATATTTATGTTTCTCAAATTTCTAGCAGAAAAAAGTAATATAAACTTCAAACTAAAGAAAGCTTGTTAAAAGATTTTGCATCTACATTTACAATGTTATTGTCCCCTTTTACACCATTATGCCTCGTTTCTAAACTATAATCATCCAGTATCCCTGATATCATCCCATATATAATCTTTCATTTAGAAAATCCTTGTCATATCCAGTACATTCTGTATGTGTCCTCATGTTTTTTTCTTTTAAAAAAATTATTTGTCTGTTTCCCAAATGATCACAGATCCAGTAATGTTAAAGTACATATAAAAAATTAAATTGATTTTTGTTATCTAAGTACTAGTACAGATTCTGCTTCTCTTGCACACACACACAAATAAAGACAAATTTGCTTTCCATAATAGCCAACTTCTGCCCAGTTGTTATAACTAAAATATATCCAAGTAAAAGTCCATTAAAACAATCCTCTTTATTTTGCATTGTTACATTACTTAATTTTAATAATTATGAAAATAAAAAGAAAGAAGTAGTTCTCTGTTAGTCTTCTGTACAATGTCAGATTTGCTGTTTCATGTGTCTTCAACTTTATGGGTTTAATTTATGTCTTCATCAAATGGCTATGGTATGGATTTACCATAATTATATACATGCGTACATGCCTACCTATGTATATATAAACAAACATTTTTGTAAACAGCTCAGTGAGGACTTTGGACTGGCATAAATCATAGGAATATGATTATGAGGATACATCCAATTTTCAGATTGGGCAATGTATACAGTTTATTATCATTTCTGATTTTGAGTAGAGTTAGTACTAAGAACAGCATTGAAGAAAAGCAGTATAACATTAAAATTAAGAAGATTTAAAATACAAGAGGATTCATAACAGTCACTTTTAAAATATTGTTTTGGCTTTCTACTTTGGAGCTGTAATTTTAAAAAACCAATGAACAGGTTTTTGTATGAATATGTTAGAATGACTAATTATAGAGCATCTTTCAACTGGAATACATGTAGATACTAACACCTGGTTGTATTTGATGTAATTTCAGTGCATACAGTGTGTGTAATCTGTATTAAGTGAAATACTTATGAATAAAGTTGTTTCTGCATTGCAATAACACATCTTCTGATATTTTTTGAAGTGCTTCTTGTCAGCAGGGGCTACTAGTTTCATTAACATCATCAAGGATCCTAAAATATTTTTAGCACAGTGACATCCTACATTCTTCATGGTATAGCTCATTATCTGTGCTGGATTAACCAGAATTTTTATATTGTCATTTCTGTTCACCACCATTGTGGTGTAATTGATCTTTTTCGATTAACCCAAAGCAATGAAGTAGTCATATTTACTAAAGTTTTAGTTTCGTGCGTTTTATTGTATTAACATTTTTTGAATATTGGTAATGTGGTATCATTTATGAACCACTGTATTTGATAAAGCATTATCGATAACGGAGTTTACCATGAGTTCAGACAAGATAAATTAAATATTTCTCAAACTCCTACTGTGAGTAAGGCAATGTGGAGAAGGTCAATGGTTATGGTGAGGGATGGGGTATAGGGGGCTAGAAATGTAGGATGACCAAGGTTCTCCCCTAGTTGCTATTACTGTAAAAAGCCCCCTGTCCAAGGAGTTGAACTGCAAGTATGTTTAATAAAAAAACAAAAAACAAACAACTTTCCTTTTTCCAGTGCAGAAAATTTGTGAGTATATAATATCAGGGTTTAAAAAAAAAAAGAAAAAGAAAAAAAGCACATAAAAGTGACAAAATATAAAATTTCAGTGTTTACTATAATAATTAGAGGGGTGTGTGTGTGTGTGTGTGTGTGTGTGTTAGAGAGAGAGAGAGAATATCACTAGTAAACCACCTCCCAAGTATGTATTGGGTATGGGCATGCATGTACTTACCCCATTTCAGGAAGCATCCTAAAATCAGCAACACTTTCCTCTCCTCAGTCACATCCAAGCCAACAGCTATATTATGTTGATAATACCTCCAAAATACCCCTGACATTTGTCCCGTCGCCATTTCCTTTTTCCAGTCTTAGTCACCAGTTACCTGTTCCACTACTAACAGGTTGCCTTACTTTCTACTTTCATTTGTTCAATCAATTTTCTACCCTGTACCCATAATACTCCTAAAACACAGGTCTGATCCAGTGAAGCCTGACAGAAAAGCTTCTCTTTCCTCATTGCACATAGAATAAAGCCTCAATTTTTATATTTTTCAAGGGACTTTGCAATCTTAACCAGTTCTACTTGTTCATTCTATCTCGTACCTTGCCATGCACCTCGTATTTTTGTCATTTCTTCTGCCACCCCCTCCTCCCTGATCATGGCATGCACTTTGATGCCTCCATAAATCTGCACAATTTACCAGAATTATTTTGAGGACTTTTTTTTTGTTAAGACACCGCTGCAAGGACAAAAACAAAAATAAACTGCAGTTGGCGATATTGAAGTGCAACTGTGGAGATAGGACAAGAACACATTTTTTTTTTTTTTTTTTTTTTTGAGACGGAGTCTCGCTCTGTTGCCCAGGCTGGAGTGCAGTGGCACGATCTTGGCTCACGGCAACATCCGCCTCCCGGGTTCAAGCAATTTCAGGCTAATTTTTGTATTTTTAGTAGAGACTGGGGTTACACCCTGTTGGCCAACCTGCTCTCTAACTCCTGACCTGAAGTGATCCGCCCGCCTCATTCTCCCAAAATGCTAGGATTACAGGCGTGAGTCACCGCGCCCGGCCAAGAACACAATTTTAATACCAGAGAGTATATGACAAAAATGAAGAAATGCTACCTGATTTTATTAAAAATGAAACAAGTCGGCATGCTATCATTTCCTTCCATATCTTTTCAAATCTTAGCATCAACCTTACATAATTCTTATAAAATTAAAATGTTTCAAATAAATGACTAGGTCATATAACCTGTAAACATCAGTTTCTGGAAACTATTCCCAGAAAATTGTTACATTGCTTTTCTTCATTAATTCTAGAAACATTTTTAAAGCTCTATTTTGGATATTTTGATTGTTGTTACACCTTTTGTCCATGAGTTACACTCAAAAAGTATCAAAGGAAAAATTTAACGCATTTATTGATCTGCATATAGTCCATATACAAAGGGGTGAGAGAACCGCATTTTTTTTTTTTTTTTTTTTTTTTTTTTGAGATGGAGTCTCGCTCTGTCGCCCAGGCTGGAGTGCAGTGGCGCAATCTCGGCTCACTGCAAGCGCTTTTAGGCATTTTAGCACAAGAAGCATCTCAGTGTGTGATTTCTTCAAAGAAAAATATTCCCAGTATGCTATATGGCGAGAAAAAAAGACATTCTTGTCTTCAATAGAGGGACATTTTCTGTGGTGAATAATCACAAATCTATATTGACGACTATGGTTTGGATGTGTTTGTGTAGACATAAATCCTGTCGCCGAAGTACTGAGATGAAATGTTCACGCCAAATAGAAATCATTGTGTCTCTCCGCCCCTCTGCTGAAAATCAAAGTTATCAATTTTGGGAAAACATGAACAGATGGAGAAACCATGGGATATCAAATGTACATATATGTATGTCCAAATTATAACATGGCAGAGCTACTCTGAAAATGCAGAAACTACATATCCCTACTCAAAACTGACCATATATATATAAAATTTTAAGGAATGAACTTCTTGGCACTTACATTGAAAGCAAATATGCTACCTGCTTCCTGGAAATAGAACGGATAAAAATAAACCACCGAGTTCTTTTTTTTTTTTTTTTTTTTTTGAGATGGAGTCTTGCTCTGTCGCCCAGGCTGGAGTGCAGTGGTGCGATCTCGGCTCACTGCAAGCTCCGCCTCCCGGGTTCACGCCATTCTCCTGCCTCAGCCTCCTGAGTAGCTGGGACTACAGGCGCCCGCCACCACGCCCAGCTAATTTTTTGTATTTTTAGTAGAGACGGGGTTTCACCGTCTTAGCCGGGATGGTCTCGATCTCCTGACCTCGTGATCCGCCCGCCTCGGCCTCCCAAAGTGCTGGGATTACAGGCGTGAGCCACCGCGCCCGGCCACCACCGAATTGTTAAGTTAGCCCTTTTTACTTTCGTTCTTACTACGACATAAAAAGTCTTTCTAAATTATATGTAGGAAACATTCTGGGAAATTGGGGTTTTGTTTAGTTTAGTTTCTCTTTCATATCTTTCCTAGACAATCTTATATCAGGAGATTCTTAACACCAGCTTTAGGATAAGACATTTCCATGGTACATGTTTTATAAAAAATCGTGACTTATGTCACCTCTTTTTGTAAAGGAAATGAAAACCATCATGAATAGGAAAATAATGTTTCTTTTGCTCAGTTACAACTATAGAGAATTTTCAATCATCCCAGATAAAATAAAAGCAGCTATTAACATTCTTAAAGTCGGTGACTATTTTCTTCAGTGCACATACCTTGGTAATAGAGGGTCATTATAAAGGGTTAATATAGTGAAAGACTAGATATGAAGACAAGACTAAGGACTCAATAACATGAAAAACATAGCAAAAACAGTACATTACCATATTTCTAGTGAACAAATGTTGCTTTTATGTTTGTGTGGTGTTTTACATTTTCTTGAAGTGCTTCCATCAGGGCATCGGAAAGATTTTTATTCATAAACGCACCCCTCTTATTCCCTTTTAATCTGATAGAGGCCAAAAGTATGTTTTACTCTGATTTATTTCTTAGAAACAATTATATCTAAAATGAGTCTAACTGAAAAGGTACAATAACAATATTCCAAATATGCCTTAACTCTATTTCTACCTCAAATATCACTGTGCTTATGTATGAAATTTCAAATTTCATGGTCCGTTTTTTTTGTTTCATGGAGAAAAATACCATGTCCCTTCTGATATGAAATCAGAATCCCAAGAGACAACTCAGAAAATAGACTTGCAACATACCCTTTTTTAGGTTAGTCTGGCATGTAGAATGTGTTAGAACTCCAGATTGGCTACCACATATAGACATGGGAAGTGTTAGATATACTAACAGATAGAGACTTGTCCTATTAACACATTAAAGAAACATGCTGTAGTTCAGAGCTTCTCATCCTCTGGGCACCCTTTGTGACCCTATGTTCACATAGGGGCATGCACCTTGACTCATATAATTTCTGTTAATCCAATAAGAGAAAAAATCTCAGTCAACTACACACTTTCTGGATAAGGTGACTCTTTTTACTCAGGAAAACAGTTTTCTGATCATGTTCCCTTATAATACATTTTTATGCCTTTCTTAGCAATATTACTCTGTGGTATACTTCAGTCAAATCACCTGAACTCTCTCATTCCCTGAGCGGTGGTCACTGTACTCATCACAATGTCTATATACACTGTGTGGAGAGTAAAGTTTATTTAACCACATAAGCTGCTATTCTGAAAATATATTTTTCACATTGAGAGAAGTATAGTTTGTGTAGCTAAAGCTATACAAGGTGGTTGAGTGTTGGGAAAAAGAGATTGAGACAGGGAGAGGGTGCTAGTGCTGAAAAGATCAAAAGCCTAACAGGAAAAGAGAAAGAGGTGGTAGGATACAAAAGATCAAAACTATGGATTCTCTCGGACATTTCCTCAGTTTCATCAACCTACATATTTATTAGTTTGCCTCTCCCTGGTAATGCCTAGGATTGGTCCTTGCACAAGTTACCATTTCTGAAGGTTTTACATATTCATGCCCCCAAGTTTTAACACCTTCTCTCATCTCTGACAGAAATATCAAATAATTGTATATATTCTACATGAGGTTTCCCCTTGCCCAAAGAAACCTAACAGTCCAGAAAGATATTTATGTAAGTTTGATTTCTGTACAGATGTATATAATACTGATATTATATATAATACATATTATATTATATGTATATATTTATGTGTATCAAATATTCATTATATTACACATTCCGTATATTTACATATTACATGTATAATATGTAATACACTTTACATACATTATACACATATACATATACATATGTTATGTATTATATATTATACATATTATATACATATACACGTATATTATGTATATGTATATATGTATATTATGTACATGTATGTAATACACATACATAGTATATATAAATATAAAGCTAAAATACAGTTAATAGAACTTAAATTTATGTTCCAATTTGAAAAAGAAAAAGATGAAGAGTGTATTCTTCTAATAGGAACAAATTTTTGTTTTGGTCTTGGAGAAATATTTTACTTACTTAATTAAGTAATAAATATATTTTTTGAGACAGAGTCTCTCTCTGTCACCCAGGCTGGAGTGCAGTGGTGCAATCTCGGCTCACTGCAGTGTAAACATCCTGTGCTCAGGTGATTCTCCCACTTCAGACTCCCGAGTAGCTGGAACTACAGACACGTGCCACCAGACTTGGCTATTTTTGTGTGTGTGTCTTTTTAGTAGAGATGAGGTTTCAGCATGTTGGCCAGGCTGATCTCAAACTCCTGGACTCAAGCAATCCACCCACATGGGCCTCCCAGAGAGCTGGGAGTGAGCCACCGCACCTGGCCTTATTTTATATTGAGAATGCTCTCTAGTCTTCTGGTTATGTTATACTGCCTGACCTAATTTTCAAGACTGTAGTATTACCTATAATCTTTATGAGATTTATTGTTTTACCTGTCTTCAGCTTCTATTTTAGAGATGGAATGGATCCTTAAAGATCATGTAGTATCCTAGTCTGCCTCTATTATTTGACAAATGATGGAACCAAGGCCCAGAGAAAGAACTGACCTTTAATGAGCAGCTATTTTATGTCAGGTAATGTGCTAGGTACCATACCTATGTTAGTTCTTTATCTCAGAGAGGTTATAACATTAGTAAGTGGCAGAGAGACAGTCTATAGTTAAGTCTGATTGACTCTTAAGTTCTCCTTCCACTATACTACATCAGAATTCTGGCAGATCCATGGCTCCCCAATCTCCTGGTTTGAAGTCCATAGGCCCTTCCCTTTTAGCACTAACCTATTACATTTCTCCTCTGCTCTATAAAACACGAAGTTCAATTATATTTTCCCAACACTCTTTGCACCTTCCTAGATGCATTCTCTTCTATTTAAGCTCAGGCAGATAATCTTGTATATGATTATTTTTATTAGATTTTCATAAAGTTGGCAAGCACTACATTCATTCTGGAAGCTACTATTATTAGCAGATATTTGCCGTGGAGCATAATTTCCTATGAACACATCAGTTGGGAAATGCAAATAGCATAGACAAGGAAGTCTTTCTTCCTTCACCTACTCCCATTTCTAATATATGAACCCAGGACAAACTTTGAAGATAGTAGCTATTCAAAAAGTTTTAACTGAACTTTCTGCAGATATTGTGTTGCAAGCCCTAGCTCTGTTTTCCATTCTGCCTTTGCAATCTTTAAAATATAATATGATTCTAATGTCCTGCAGTTTGGTAAGTCACAGGATGAGTTTGATGGAGGAGGGAATATATATACATCACCAAATCTAAGTGTAAAGTAATTTTGACATCAATTTATAATGAAAAGGAGCATTTTGATACATTAAATATAGCTATGAATTTCTACCTAGCCTGATTAGACTTTTTGGTAATCACCAGAAATATATATCAAATATGGATCATCAGATATCTATAGAAGGGAAGGAAAGTTATCAATTCAAACAATATGAATTTTCAATTTAGTCAGAATTACTAACTTTTGCTTATATAACATAAATTGGAAATATATTTTGTTTCTGGATTGTGCTTCCTAATTTAACTATTTAATTCATATGTAACAATTGCAACATTAATTTTTAATATTGTCAAAGATATACAATGCCATACTATAAATACATTTTGTTCCAAAGAGGCAAAGTTCATCATTTATTTAGGAAGCTGCATTAACTCCTTACGTCCACTTAGGGAACATACATCAAATGCCTCTGCTACATTAAGTTCTAGAAATTAGAATTTATAAAAAGGAGAAAAAGAGGGAAGGATTAATTCAAGGAAAATTCTGTGAGTGTTTGCTAGGTGCCAGGCATAGTGCTAGGCACACTGAAAAGCAAGGTGTGGTGGGCCATGACTGGGCTTTAAAGACAGACCTTTTTTTTTCCAAATCTGGATTTGCAGGTTTTAGCTGCATGGTCTTTATCCTGTTTGAACCTCAGGATCTTCATCTTTCTAGTGATATCAAGATGTCTAATCAACAGGATCATGAGGAGTAAATTAGATAGTATAAAAAAATGTACATAGCACAGCATAAAGGAGTCAATAAGTATAAGACTTCTTCTACATAGATGAACTCATCTAATCTTCTTATAATATTACGAGCTAGATATCATTGGTATCATACTCATTTTAAAGATTGAGCTCTCAGAGAGCTCAATAATTTGCCCCAGCCGAATTTAGCCAATTTCTTGTTCATTCTCCTGTACCAAAGCTATCTCAGATCAACAGTCTAGGTGATTCTACTTTATTAACTGCTTAATTAGAGCTCACTTGCATGGTAGGAATGTTGCTTCCTAAACCCTGCCATTGTGTGTTCTTTATGGGAGCCTGAGTAGAAATATTGAGTATAGCTCTGGGCAGTAATGTAACTTTAAAGCCTTTCCAGTTGTAGGTGAATGTACTTTTAAATATAGCTGATATAAAGTTTTGTCTTCTAATGATAGTGAAAATTATTGACAATATTGACTAAGTGGTAGAATCATAAAATGTCAGATGAAGATAAGAGTCAGAATGTGTGCATGACTTGCCCACGGTTATTCAGTTAGATTTTAATAGAATCAGGTGATGAGTTTTAATCTCCTGACTTTCAGTTCAGGATTCTTACCACTGCATACACATTCTATTTACTATGTGACAACACTGTAACAACTGTATGAAATGGCATTAAATACTATTAAAATTAAGAAAAAGTGAAGCTAACAAAAACAAAACCATTCTAGGAGCCAGACCATTGTTGAGGTTTAGCTTTCCTATCTAATATATCTACTGTGACCTTGGAAAATCAATCATCTTCTCTGTCTGAGACTCAATTTCTTCTTGTGTTAAATGGGGATGATGGATTGTTCAGAACCTCAATGAGATGACTTTTCAAAAAGCATTTGTAAAATGAGAACTTTTCATAATTGTTACCAATACCACGTTTATTAGGGTTCTCTAGAGGGACAGAACCAATACTATAGATGTATATATTACAGGGAGTTTAATAAGGAGTATTGACTCACACTATCACAAGATGAAGTCCCACAATAGGCTGACTGCAAGCTGAGGAGCAAGGAAGCGAGTTCGAGTCCCCAAACCTCAACAGTAGGGAAGTCGACAGTGCAACCTTCAGTCTGTGGTCAAAGGTCCAAGAGTCCAAAAGCTGAAGAACTTGAAGTCCGATGTTTGAGGGCAGGAAGCATCCAGCATGGGAGAGAGATGTAGGCTGGAAGACTCAGCCAGTGTATTCTTTCCAGTTTCTTCTGCCTGCTTTTATTCTAGCCGTGCTGGCAGCTGATTAGATTGTGTCCACCGATTGAAGGTGGGTCTGCCTTTCCCAGTCCACTGACTCAAATGTTAATCTCCTTTGCCAACACCCTCACAGACACATGCAGGAACAATACTTTGCAAACTTCAATCCAATCAAGTTGACACTCAGTGTTAACCATTGTAAGTCCACCCCTTTTCAACTTGAACCCATATACATCTCCTGAAATTATATATATATACATATAAAATCTTCAAATAATTACACCTAACATAATAGAGCTATCCTTTGTATAACTGGAAACACACCAATCCCCAACCTAAATGTTATTACATAAAGTTAACAATAGTTAAATGCTGATATGAAATCAATGACTCTTATGTCACATGATAAAGAAAAAAGAAAGGAAATAAAATGAAGACATTTTCTTAGTACAAGTGTATACATGCACAAACATGTTCTTAACAAAATAAGGAAGAAACACTCATGACAATTATAGTCCTTGTTTCTGCAACTGGCCACATGGCCATAGCTGGTATTGATAACTACCTTCTTCTACTGCCCATTCTGTATTCCCTTTGCCTTCAGCAAGCACCTCAGCAGGTTGTGGTTTTTACCTGGTGGAGTGGCCCAGACCTTTATTCCTGAAGAGTCTGGACCATTTGTAGTCCTGCCTGGATTGGGCTGTTGTAGTTTCCAATTGACCTTAATCACAGGGCATGGTAATACCAAGAGATGCCCTAAGGGGTCTCCTTTATTCCATGTATACTATTCCCTACCTCCATTGTGGAGTAGTAGACTGGTTTCATCTCGATAGTCGGGGTCAATTACCCCAGCAAACACTGTAACTCCCTTCTTAGCCTGTTGACTTAGAGGTAGGAGGAGCCCAGAGTGGCCAGGTAGCAATCTTAACTTCCAGTTTAATGGAATTGTTGTTGTGTCTCATGGTGGCAGCATTCCTCCCTCTGGAGTTAAGACCTCTAGGCCAGCAGAACGTAATGTCATGGGAACAGGAAGCAAAAATTCTTCTAGTAGGTTACTGGGGTGATGGTGAGTGGTGCCACTTCCACTTCCACCACTTGATTCCTGGACCTGTGAATCCTGGCTATGAGAGGAAGCAGTACCATATATTGGACAGTGATTCAGAGGATACACAGCCTTCTGGAGAACTTTGCCCCATCCCTGTAAGGCCATTCACAATTCTATCAATCCAGCTGCTTCAGGATGATGGGGAACACTGTGGAACTAAACAAGGCTTTCAACCTGCTGTACAATTAGGTTTGCTCCCTCATAAAACACTGAAATGATGGGCCTTTGATTACAGACATCTCAAGATTTTATGCAAGTATCCAAAATGTCCAACTTATGATTATATGGGGGTGACTGTAAGACTCCTGTGTTTCTGAAATGCAACTTCTAATTCATGAACTACATTTATACCAAGTATGTCTTAGAATAGCTCATAAGCACATGAAATCAAATTCCATAAAACCACGGGTTTTGTATGGCACTTAATTAAGGAAACTGAACAGCTTTCAGTGGCAAGTAAGGCGATTTCAGAAATGGTAACTATAGTGATTCTCCTCAAAATTAGAAAGAGAAGGAGAAAACTGTTCTTGTGTGTCTACTCTGTGTCAGGCACACTGGGGCCTCAGGAAGTGAATGAGCTTCAGAATCAGGGAACATGGTTTGTAACACTGACTTTTTAGCTGCTGGGCCTTGCATAAAACTGTTTAAGATTTCTGAGCCTTAGGATCTTTAACTATAAAAATGGCAAAAATAATGTCAAACTCCCAGGTTTGTTGTGTAAATTAAATTAGATAACCTATGAAATGTGACTGGGATATAACAGGCACTTGATAAGCATTATGCCCCTTCTTCACCAGTTACCTCAACTAACCTGCCCAGCTACCTGGTAGGCAAGTAATGTTGTCACATCACAAACAAAACTAGGAGACTGAGTTTCAGAGTTTCAGCAATTTGCTCAAGCTCAGGTAATTGGTAAGTGGCCTGATTGGAATTTTACCAAGATTGGCCTAACTCTCACTTCCCAGTCCTTTCCTGTCAGCCTTTCTGACTCTGGAATAAGACCTCAAATGCCACTGTTCAGTGGTAGTTTATCAACTCATAAGATATATGTCTTTTTCACATTCTTTCTCCATAGGCATAGGGAGATATTATGTAAGTATTACTCTCTTTTCTGAATTACCAATAAATTACTTTAAGGGGGATGTTTATAATAAAATGATAAGAATATGACTTATTATGTGATTTTAATATTAGACATTTTACTCTATTATCACTCTATGATCTTTGAAATTATAAACACTTCATTCCATGAATGTGGATGGGTATCTTACAAAGATAACTAATTAAAATAGGTATCCCAAGATAAAACGTAAAGACAAAATTTAATTTAATTTTTATTTGACTGGTTTCAGAATACATACTACTTAGGCTCGCCAGGCATACATTCATGAAAATAAATCCCTAAAATACAACACAGTATGGGAATAATTCCTATTTTTGAGTTTGAAGAAGCCATTAAGGGCTAGAGTAAATTGGGAAAGACTCGTGGAAGAGATTGAACATGATTTGGTCCCTAATGCAGGATTTGGAAAAATGGAGAGAAAGGAAAAGTCCCAGTTGGTAGGAATTAAATAAGCTAAAACATATGTCATATTTTTGGAGCAATGTTTTCAGCTACTGTTGAGACACATTTAAGAAGATGTTAGGGCCATGTTATTGACAATTTTGTGGAGGCAATAAAAAACAAATGAAAGAAATTTCTATATTTATTTTTGGAATAGTGTTTCTCATGTGTCCTGCTCAAACGGGAATGTTACGTCAACCACCTACACTTCCTCAATTCCCAATTGCTCTTCAAAACATCTTAATCTAGTCTCTATCCCCTCCATTCACTACTCATATGTCTCATGTAGTTAGCAGTGGCCTCCTATTTGCCAAACTCAATGGACATTTTTTATTTCCATCTTTCTGCTCTATTCGGCATTTTTCCTCATTCATTCACTCCTTTTGAAGTTCTATTTTCTTAGCTTGCATGATGATATTCCCTTCTGATTTTTTTTGGCCTTCTGATAATTCCATTTCTTTTTCTGTGTGGTAATTTCATCTGTCCACTGCATAAGTGTTAATTTTCTTAGAGTTATATCCTCAGCCTGTTCTCATCATTTTATACTCTCTCTGTTGTTTTATATATAACCTATATCCTGATGAGTTCTGATCTCCATATACAGTCCTGGTCCCTCACCTGAGATTTTGACTGATACATCAAGTTCTCCTATAAACATCTCCCCTTCACTGGTCCATGGAACTTCAAGCTCTACTCGCTCTAAATTGGATTGATTCCCTTCAAATTCCTTTTCCCAAATCTGGTTTCTTACCTACTTCAACTGATAGAGTCACCATTCATTCAAGTCACTCAAGTTAAAAATCTCAGTAACATCCTATGCTTCCTTCTCTCCCCCTCCCCTTCATTCCAATTGTTCAACAACATTTTTTTTTCTGACTTTACATTTAAAATATTTTTAAAATAATGAAAATGATAGCAGATAATATTTTTCAAAATGTACTACATGCAAGGTATGGTGCCAAGAATTTAAAAAGTATTAACTTTCATACTACAGGTACTATTTTTCCCATTTCACTTATGGGGAAAATGGAGCTCACGAAGGTTCATTGTCTTGCTATATGTCACACAAATACTATTTGGTAAAGCTGTTATTTAAATACAAATGTTTACATTCCAAATTCTGTATTCTTAAACACAAGAGTAGCATTTATTGCTTCTATCTCTACTCCTGTATCCTATTTTAAGTTCTTTTCATGTTTTATGTGGACAACTGAGATAGCTGCTTAGCTGGCATTCATCATATCTCTAATCTTGTTTCACTCAAGTCAGCTTCCACATAGCCAATGAAGATTCTATTTCACTTGCAAATCTCATCATCCCACCCCTCTGCTTAAAATCCTTCATTGGATCCTCATAAGTTTCAGTATAAATACCTATTTTTTAGTATACTAAACAAAACTCTCCATGGTGTGGTCTTGTGCTTAATTTTCAGCTTGAGGTCTCATTCATCCCTGGGTCATAGTTTACGCTTCAGAGATATCATATCACTTGCAGTTTTCTACTATACAGCATGCTGGTTTTAGTTTCTACAAATTCATTCATATTTTTTTGTAGTGGAGACTTGCTCTTTGCCATTCTATTTACATAACATGATTAAATTCCACAGAGTCATTGTGACTCAGCTCAGGTTCCTCTATGTGCATGTGTGTGTGTGTGTGTGTGCACGCATGTGCGCGTGTATAAAATATTTGAGTAGGAAAAAAATGTGATAACAAATATTTTGAGATGATTAATTAAAAATTATAATGACAAATGGAAGGCAAGTTTTAAAGTAGGAAAATCAGCTAGGAGAACCAGAACATTGAATTAAGAACAAAATAAGGGATAAGGGCCAGGACTAGGGTAGTAGAGGTGGGAAATGAAAACAGGGACTGACGAATGAGATGGTGGAGGGGATCAAATAGAGTATATTTTCTAAAACAACTCCAAAATTGAAGGCAGTTGACTAGAAATTAGCAATTGGGGTTTGAACTAAGATAATCAGGAGTGTAAGTTTTGTAAAGAAGTAGGAGTTGAGGAGATGGAGAACAAATGTGTAGATGTTTTACATGTAAAGATGGTAAAACTCTAATTCCTTTTAACTGTGGGACAAAAGGGTGAGAAGATGGGTGTGGGGATTAAATACTTTGAAATGTAGGAAATAGTATATGATAAAGCTATTATATTATGTTGGTGCAAAAGTAATTGTGGTTTTTGCGATTAAAAGTAATGACAAAATTACTTTTAAAAATTACTTTTGCACCAACCTAATATCATAAGTAAATGGATATTTAGCACAGTTTAACATATGATGGGGAATAGTCTGAAGTTAAAGGCAGCAGTACGACTACATATTTACATTTCATCATCACTATATAGTTTAGTGGAAGCATCCAACTATGATTGACTGATTAATAAGCCAAGAGTTTCTTCAGCTATAATTCAATTTGGATATTATATTTCTCAAAAATAACTTGTACTTGTTATTTAATTGTTAGTAATTGATCCTTTTCTGACTATAAAATAGTATAAATTAATTGTAGAACGTTTGAAAAATACAGATGAATAGAGATATAATAGAGAAGAAAAATAGAAATTACCTATAATCCTACCAACTCAATGATAATAAGTGTTACTTCAGTGCATATTCTTTCAATCTTTTTTCTGTGTGCTCATTTTTATTTTATTAAATACTCTTCTCAAATAGGATGTTTGATAGCTACATAATATTGCATCACATAGACATTCTATAATACATTTAGATATCCAATATTAATGAATGGTTTTATTTTTATGCTATTATAAACAAACTATAATGAACCTTCTTGAACATAAATCCCTTTGTGCACCGATCCAACAGCCAACAGTGTAATTCACAAAGAAACACTGGAGGCAATTCCATTAAAATCTATAATAAGCTAAGGACAATTTGTTTAAAATTGTTTTAGACATTTCATTTACAACAGTAGTACAGGGGAAAAGAATAAATATTAAAAAGAAAAATATAGTGCTATTTATTGTTTATAATGATCTTCCACCAAGAAACTCCAAGAAAAACTTCTGGTAGTATAAAGAGGAACAGCTTTTATTTTTTACTTTTTTGTTGTTTATTATTATTATTATTATTGTTATTATTATTTTGAGATGGAGTCTCACTCTGTCACCCAGGCTGGAGTGCACTAGTGCAATCTCGGCTCACTGAAGCCTCAACCTCCCAGGCTCAACCTCTTTTACTGCCTCAGCTTCCCAAGTAGCTGGGACTACAGGTGTGCACCACCATGCCCAGCTAATTATTTTAGTTTTTGTAGGGACAAGGTCTCACTATATTCCCTCAGGTGAAAGAATAGCTTTTAAAAGTCAGCTTTCATGATGTGTAGTAAAGTCAGTAATTCTACTTCCAGAAATTTATTGTACAGATAAATAAGAAAAATATTTAAAAGCTACTGAGTTTTAAAAGATATTTGTATACTATCTCATCAGTTATCAATACTCTAACGGATAATCTATCATTATTAAATGCTTTTCTCTTTTTCATATAATAATTGCTTTTTGTATAAAAGTAATTTTATAGAGAAATTCAGTTTACAAAGTTTAGACTTATATATTTTTAGTTATATTTTATGCCTAATTGGAAAGTAATGCCTAATTAATAAAGTGTTTTTCAAGACACATGATATTTTCATTTTTCTTTTTGTTGTTTTTTTCCTCTGTGTCAACTCTACACTTTTTTTTACTAAGGTATGAAATGACAATCAACTAATTTTCTCAAGATTTGAAACTTTTGTTTCTAAAAAATAAACTAAATTGTGCCTTTTTCTAAGTGTTTAACTGTGCCATGGTGCCATTCAGAAGAATAAAAGTCTGCCCAATTTATTGTGACTTTTCCTGCATAATTTCTATGTACATTAAACAGGTTTATAATTCACTTGTTCTTAGACTTCATACATATAATTAGTCATTTGTCATTTATATATTTCAAAATCACTGCTTCAGAGAAATAATGTAGAAGCATCATGGAGGTTATGGCTTTCTATGTACATATAAGATCTTTACGTTTGAGGATCATATTTAAAGACTAAAAAATTATAATGTACTTGACTCATATATTCAAAATTGTGATAAAGAAGACATTTTTAGCTTACAATTTGCTCTAGAAGATAACATCAACTTACTAAAGATATGTAGAGGTAACTTTTAACCTTATGTTAACCAAATTCAACATATTGAAATATTTGTTTCCTATGCTGCATATGGGCAGTGAAACAAATAAACAATTATACACTGAGGATTCTTTAGCATCTTCCCATTTTGTTTTAATTTAGAGTACAGAAGACTTCACCTTCTGTCACTATTAGAATAAGAGAAACAAGCTGAATCAACAGTGGCCCAATATATTAACCACTTTGATAAAAGTGACCTTGTATTTGATCAACGTCTAGACCAGAGATTCACAACACTGGCTGTGCATTAAAATTGCATTTGGAGGTCAGAATCTATCCTAAGAAATTATAATAGAGGTCTGAGTTGAAGCCTAGCTATCTTTGTTGTCAGCCTGACAGGTGATTTATATGAGCAAACAAGGATGATAATCACTGAACATAAACATACATGCATCCATTAATTGACTGCTTATCTACATATTTGAAATATTGCCCATTAATAACCTTATACTCACTAGACTGAGCATTTGAAAAGCAAACACAACGCCTTTATTAACTTCGTAACCCTAGTAACCAGCTTGGTTTCAGCACATAGGCACTCAGGAAAATTAATTACTTAATTAATTAATTATGGTCATATGAACTCATTAAATTAACGAAGAATCATGGCATTTGTTAGATTCATAGGTAGTGACAAACAAAATGTTTGTGAAATTCCTTTTTAAATATCAAACACAAAACCACTTTGGAACAAATTTTTATTACTCTTTTACTCTTTTTTTCAAAGAAGGATAAATCACTTGAGGAAAACAAAAAATAATTTTTGCTAGAAAGATATTTTCACCAATAATGTGCTAATGCACACACTGTGGCCAAGGAATACATTTTCGGTAACTCTGCCAACTTCATGCCATACAGACAATATATAGTTTGTAATGCTATTTTTAAAATAAAATGACATGACTAGTGAAAGTATGTACTACCACACTATTTACACTAGTACACTATTATAATTCTAAAACATAAGCAGTTATTACAATGATTTTAGTGTTTTTGTACATAGTTGATCTTCAGATAGAGATAAGGTGAATATGGTATTTATTTTTTATTTGCTGAGTGGATTCTAAATTTCTGTTACTTCCCCAAAGAGCAACCACTGGCACACACATGCATGTACATGATACACACCACCCTCAACACACACACACACACACACACATACCCACACACACACACAGAGAGAGAGAGAGAGAGAGAGAGAGAGAGAGGCTGACATAAATTTATTTTAATAGACAAATATAAATATTTAAATTGTCATGGTCTTAAATACTACCAATGGTTTTCAATTTATATTTAAAAAATCAATTTTAATATATTGCCAATGTCAAGGACAGCCATATATACTTTAGTTATTTCTTTAACAGTTTTTCAAACAATCACAGTTATGTAATTCCTTGTTTTAAATTTTATTTTAAGGTCAGGGGTACAAGTTCAAGTTTGTTAGATAGGTAAACTTGTGTCATGGGGGTTTGTTGTACAGGTTATTTCATCACCCAGGTATTAAGCCTAGTAGCCATTAGTTGTTTTTTCTGGTCCTCTCCCTCTTCCCACCCTCCACCCTCTGAAAGGCCACATTGTGTGTTGTTCCCCTTTATGTGTTCATGTGCTCTCATCATTTAGCTTCCTCTTATTAGTGAGAACATGCAGTGTATGGTTTTCTATTCCTGTGTTAGTTTGCGAAGAATAATGGCCTCCAGCTCCATCCATGTCCCTGCAAAGAACATGATCTTGTTCTTTTTTATGCCTGCATAGTGTTCCATGGTATACATGTACCACATTTTCTTTATCCAGTCTATCACTGATGGGCATTTAGGTTGATTCTATGTTTTGCTATTGGAAGATACCCTAAGCAATACCATTCAGGACATAGGCATGGGCAAAGATTTCATTATGAAAATGAGAAAAGCAATTGCTACGGAAGCAAAAATCAACAAATGGGATCTAGTTAAACAAAAGAGCTTCTGCACAGCAAAACAATCAAGTAAACAGAAAGTAAACAGAAAACCAACAGAATGGAAGGAAATTTTGCAAACTATGCATCCAATAAATGTCTAATATCCAGCCTCTATAAGAAACTATAAGCCTCTATAAGGAACTTATTACCAAGAGCAAAACAAACAACGCCATAAAAAAGTGGGCAAATGAAATGAACAGACACTTCTCAAAAGAAGACTTACATGTGGCCAACAATCATTTGAAAAATATCTCAACATCACTGATCACTGAAAAAATGCAAATCAAAACCACAGTGAGATAGCAACTCACACCAGTCAGAATGGCTATTATTAAAAAGTCAAGGCCAGATGTGGTGGCTCACGCCTGTAATCCCAGCACTCTGGGAGGCCGAGGCAGGTGGATCAACTGAGGTCAGGAGTTTGAGACCAGACTGGCCAACATTGTGAAACCCTGTCTCGATTAAAAATACACAGATTAGCTGGGCATGGTGGGACTGTGCCAGTAATCCCAGGTACTTGGGAGGCTGAGGCAGGAGCATTGCTTGAACCCGGGAGGCAGAGGTTGCAGTGAACAAGATCGTGCCATTGAACTCCAGCCTGGGTGACAGAGTGAGACTCTGTCTCAAAAAAAAAAAATGTCAAAAAATAACAGATGCTGATGAGGTCGTGAAGAAAAAGGAATTCTTATATACTATTCATGGGAGTATAAATTAGTTCAGTCACTGTGGAAGACAGTGTGGAAATTCCTCAAAGACCCAAAGACAGAAATACCATTCAACCCAGCAATCCCATTACTGGGCATATACCCAAAGGAATATAATTTATTCTATTATAAAGACACAGTTATGTAATTCTAAAACAAATTGTACAAAACATTCAAGATAAAATAGAAAACAGCACATTATTAAAGCTATTTTATTGTTATAAGAGTTATTTTTACACAGTCCTCTTCAAAACAAGCTATTTGAAATGTTTTGCTCCAAAACGTGTATCCATTAAAGTGGAGTCAAAATTTGATTGCTCTCAGCCAACATACTTTACTGGAAAAAGTGTGTTTAAAATGGTATAGTAAAAGAAAAGATAAAAGATAAAAAGGTAAAGGATTGTGAAGAATTCAATGCTGCTATCTGCATGTACTTTGTAAAAATATCACCCTCTCCTTCCTGATCCTCTGTCTCTGTCACATTTCGTGGCTCATATGTTAATATGTCCCACCTCCTGAACACTTCAGTCATGAGAGACCCAGCTTAATGCACCCAATTGAAAATCCATTAAAAACACATATGGCATCTTCTGTGTTGAAAGGATTCTCTTAAAGATCTTACAGTGGTTTGCTGATTTAAAAATATCTCCCTGTTATAACAAAAGAAGGTGTAGGCATTTATTATGGCTTGCTGACTTCAGGCTAAAAATTTTTTATTTAAATTTAGCCTCTTTTAGATGCCTCCCTAGATTCAAAATCTTATCGGCATTGCCTAATAAGTAGTTGAAACTTTCAGTTCAACAGAGACCTCGGAAATCGATATATCACATCAGTGTTTTATTTTGTCTGTAAACGTGGCATATTAAATTATTGAGTTGTCTGATTTTTTCTCGGATTTATTGAGGTATAATGCACAAATCAAAATTATATTCAAGTTGTACAAAGTGATATTTTGATATACCTATACATTGTGAAATGATTACCACTATCAAGCTAATTAACATATCCATAACCTCATAGTTACCTTTTTTGTGTGAGATTGAGATCGACTATCTTAACAAATTTCAAGTACTCAATACAGTATGATTAACTATAGTCATCATGCTGTACGTTAGGTCTCCATAACTTTAGATTCCCTGTTTTGTAACACCTGCTTTAGGCTTGCTGAGGGTCACTGTCCAGTAGTAGTGAGCATTTTAAGCCAATTTCATTAAGATACGATATTTATGATAAACATTTTTTGTAGCATCAGCCAGTGAAACAAAGTATCTGAACTAATCTGAAAGGATTGCTAATAAGCATCTTAGCCTTTCTATCTCTGGTTTCTCTACAGGTATCACCATGATAAAATTTTTCTTTACCTGAAGCAATTAAAAATAAAAACACTGTGTTTCCCTGGTTGGGCCTTTTTAGTTCCCAGTGAAGGCCACCTACGGTGGATAGAGAAGAAAGATACTTTCCACACAAAATATCTTACTATTTGAACCTGGTAATTCACATATGCGGTGAAATGTTACCACAAGAAAGCTTCAGTTTTCATAGGTAAAAATAGTTATCCACATATTTAAGCAAGTTTATAATTCTTCATACAAATATTCACAAAAACAAAAAAGACCATTTTCTCCAGCTTCAGATACACACCATTTGACTTCAGAAACTAAGTTACATCCTTTTGTTTGTTGATTGGTTTGTTTTTAGGCCATCCAACCCCCTCAAGATAAGTTACATTCTAATGTGGGCATGTTCAAATCTTACAGGATGATCTGCAAGTATAGAAAAACATACAAGAAGAAAAATTTGGAAAGATTTTTATATCAGATCACATTTTCCAACATGATTGTCTAGTTGGTAAAGTTCAGCAGTATCAAATTCCCATTGTTTTCTGTGAAAGTATCTCATCATTATTTAAAATGTCATATTTTACCTTATTCACTAAACTATAAATATAATTGGTTCCATTAATAATACATGGCAGATAAGCTAGCTTTTTTATATTATTCATCATTATGAGATAAAATTCATAGGACCCTATGAAAATAGTTCAATATATACCTCATATGACTGTTAATAATTTCCAACTTATTTTAGAAAACCTAAAAGCGGAACCAAAACTAGCACAATTTGGAAGAATTTGAAACTATACTTTCTTTCATAAATTTTGAATTATCTAAATTATCTGAATTTCAAACATGAAATTTTATGTTTACAACTTCTAGAGATATTTATTTGGAATTAAAATTACAAAATGCCAAAGGATTGGATAATATTTATCCAGTCCAATAAATGTTAGGTCCTTTTTTATTGCTGCTACATATGTCTAGCCACTTAAATAATTGTATTCAATTAAATCCACTTTTCATGTCCAGGGATAGTTCTATTCCCCTGTTATTTCCATCAAGAAATAAATATCCTATCATTTTATTTTTATTTTTTATTTTTATGGGTATATAGTAAGTGTGTATAATTATGGGCTACATGAGATATTTTGTTACAGGCATGCATTGTGTAACAATCACATCAGGGTAAATGGGGTATGCTCACCTCAAGCATACTTCCTTCGTGTGTGTTACAAACAATCCAATTATACTTTTTTGGTTATTTTAACCTGTATAATTAAATTATTATTGACTATAATCCCTTTGTTATGCTATCAAGTACTACATCTTATTCATTCTTTCTGACTATATTTTTGTGTCCATTAATCATCCCCACTTACCCTCCTCTCCCCAACTTACCACCCTTCCAGCCTCTGGTAACCATTCTTCTATTCTCTATCTCCATGAGTTCAATTGTTTTCATTTTTAGCTCCCATAAATAAGTGAGAACATGTGAAGTTTGTCTTTCTTTGTCCTTTTTCCTTACTATATCTTTGTCTATTCTGAGTCTCTTGTGGTTCTATATACATTTTACATTTTTTTTCTACTTCTATAAAGAATGTCATTGGTATTTTGATAGAGATTGCACTGAATCTGTAGATTTCTGTGGGTGGTATGGACATTTTAATAATATTGATTCTTCAGTCCATGAACATGGAGTATTTTTCCATTTTTTTTTGGTATTGTCCTTAATCTCTTTCATCAGTGTTTTATAGTTTTTGTTATAGAGATCTTTAACTTCTTTAAATTAATTCATTGATATTTAATTTTATGTGTGACTATTGTAAATGGGATTACTTTTTTATTCTTTTTCTCATTGTTCACCATTGGCATATAGAAATGCTACTGATTTTTGTATGTTGATTTTGTATCCTCAGCTTTGCTAAATTTATCAGTTCAAATGGTTTTTTTTGCTGGACTCCTTAGTTTTTTCCAAAGATAATATCATACCATCTGCAAACAGGGATAATTTGACTTCTTCCTTTCCATCATGGATGCCTTTTATATCTTTCTCTTGTCTAGTGTGTCTAAGTAGAACTTCCAGTACTGTGTTGAATAATAATGGTGAAATTGGCCATTCTTGTCCTATTTCTGATCTTAGAGGAAAGGCTTTCAGATTTTTCCCCATTTAGTATGATGGGTCTGTCATATACAATTTTTATTATGTTGAGGTATATTTTTTCTATTCCTAGTTTATTGAAAGTTTTTATCATGAAGTGATGTTGCATTTTATCAAATGTTTATTCAGCATCAACCAAAATGATTATATGGTTTCTGATCTTCATTCTGTTGATATGATATATCACCTTAATGATTTATGTATGCTGAACCATCCTTGTATTCCAGGGATAAATCCCACTTGGTCATGATGATTGGTCTTTTTAATGTGGTTTGAGAAAATCGAAGTGGGGGGGAAATGGCAGATAGGAGACAGGGATAATGTATAGCTCCCACATGGACAGACAGAAGAGTGTGTGGGGACTCACACTGTGATCTTTTGCTTCAAGAACCCCCACAGGAACATACCAGGAAAACTGAAAGAATTCACAGATCCTTTGAAGGAAGCAGCACACTGCTGCAAATTCCACAAAACAGGTGAAAAACTGTGTGTTCCCAAAGTGTGAGAGGGCGAAAGGAAAACCTACCTTCGATCACACATCCTGACTGGGGAATCTGAAAATCCAGATCACAAGAGGATTTAACCTTACCTAGAAATGAAATGGATTTAGGAAGTCACATGAGATATAAAAGTAGAAGTAGCAGTGGGAAGTGACTTGCATGCACTCCCAGCCTCCACCTCTAACCTAGAAAGGCCATCCCTGACTATATCTCACAGGAGCCCTCAGGAAAGGTGGCCAGAGGAATTGGGGAGGGATTATGGGGTGAAGGAGGCTCCCAAATGAAATTGGTAGTGGTTTTGGCTGGGCACACATTTTCTTGAGTCCAGTCTGGGGGACGGGAGGGAGCTGCTGCACATACAAGCAAGTGCAGGAGTACAGGAGCTGCTGCTGATGGAGTGGGCAGACAGGGAAAGGCAAGGTCCTAAAGCCATGCTTGCTTTCCCAGTGGAGTAGCTCATGGCTTCTGGCAAGGTCAGAGCAGGGGCACTGCATGAATGAGAGACTGGCCTCGCCAACTGCATGAGAGCTGGGTACGGCTTCTTGCTACTGGCTATCTCCCACTTCCCTGGTGAGCTATACTGCACAGCAGAGGCGGCCAGGATTGCCTATGGAACATAACCCCATTGGCCTGAGAACCACCTCACCCCATGCTCCACAGTGGTCATGGCAAGCCCTCCCCAAGGAGAGTCTGCACCCAGACCCACCAAACCCTGCCCCCACATGACAGTATTTCCGTAACTACCCTGATAGCTGAACACAAAACACAGAAACTCATGGGAGCTTTATGGCCCCACCCAACACCTGAGAAACCAAAATACTTAGCAGGACCATCTTAGAGTAAGCTTAGAGCCCTTTAGTACTATCACAGCTGGTGCTATCTTGAAAGTGCCACCTCTTAGCTGGAGGCCAACCAACTCAGGCCATTACAGCAACTCAGGACAGAATAACCCTGATCCCAGGAAGGAGAAGACAACACCTAATTTCACTGCCTGCAACATCCTGGCTAACCAGAGGTCCTGAGTGTGTCCATGTGACAACTTCATCACTAGCATAACCAGCATTCAAGAAAGCCAGCATACTAAACATATTAACAACAAAGAGCTCTCGCAGAGTCTACTTTGCTTCTCTGCCACCTCTACCAGAGCAGGTGCTTGTATCCACAACTGGGAGACCTGAAGACAGATCACATCACAGGACACTTTGCAGACATCCTGCAGCATCAGCCCAGAGCCTGATAGCCCCACTCAGTGGCTAGACTCAGAAGAGCAATAACAATCACTGCAGACCAGCTTTCAGGAAGTCTCATCTCTAGGGGAAGGGGGAGAGCACGACATCAAGGAATCACCCTCTAGGACAAGAAAATAAATCTGAACAGCAGGCCTTAAGTTTCATACCTCTCCACTGAAATAGTCTACCCAAATGAGAAGAAACCAGAAAAGTAATCCTGTTATAGAACACGGTTCTATAACACCCCCGAAAGATCACACCAGATCCCCACGAATGGATCCAAACCAAGAAGAAATCTCTGAATTGCCAGATAAACACTTCAGAAGGTAGATTATTAAGCTACTCAAGGAGATACCACAGAAAGGTGAAAACCAACTTAAAGAAATTAAAAAACAATATAGGGTATAGATGAACAATTCTCAAGAGAAATAGATATCACAAAGAAAATACAATTACAACTTCTGGAAATGAAAGACACACTTAGAGAAATGCAAAATGTAGTGGAAACTTTCAACAGTAGCATAGAACACGTAGAAGAAATAACTTTAGAGTTCAATGAAAAGGCTTTCAAATAAACCCAATCACACAAAGACAAAGAAAATATTTTTTAAATGAACAAAGACTCCAAGAAATTTTTGATTATATTAAATGACCAAACATAAGAATAACTGGTGTTCCTGAGAAAGAAGAGAAATCTAAAAGTTTGGAAAACTTATTTGAGCAAATAATTGAGGGTAACTTCCCTGGTCTTGCTAGAGGTCTAGACATCCAAACACAAGAAGCTCAAAGAACACCTGGGAAATTCATTGCAAAAAGATCACCACCTACGCATGTAGTCATCAGGTTATCTAAAATCAAGACAAAGGAAAGAATCTTAAGAGCTGTGAGACAAAAGCATCAGATCACCTATAAAGGAAAACCTATCAAATTAACAGCAGACCTCTCAGCAGAAACCTTACAAGCCAGAGGGGATTGAGGTCCCATCTTTAGCCCCCTGAAACAAAATGAAGGAGAAATGAAGTTGTTTTCAGACAAACAAGTGCTGACTACTAAGCCAGCACTACAAGAAATGCTAAAAGGAGTTCTACATCTTGAAACAAAACCTTAAAATACACCAAAATAGAAACACCTTAAAGCATAAATCTCACAGGGCCCATAAAACATTAATGCAACAGCAAAAATGCAAGGTATTAAAGCAACAACTAACATGATGAGTAAAACAATACCTCACATCTGAATACTAACACTGAAAGTGAATGGCTTAAATGCTCCACTTAAAAGATACAGAATGGCAGAATGGATAAAAATCCACCAACCAAGTAGCTGCTGTCTTCAAGAGACTCACTAACACATAAGGACTCACATAAACTTAAGGTAATGGGGTGGAAAAAAACATTCCATGCAAATGGAAACCAAAAGCAACTAGGAGTAGCTATTCCTATATCAGACAAAGCAGAATTTAAAGCAACAACACGAAGAAAAAACAAAAAGGGACATCATATAATGATAAAAGAAATAGGCCAACAGGAAAATACCACAATCGTATATACGCACCTAACACTGGAATTTTCAAATTTATAAAACAATTACTACTAGACCTAAGAAATGAGATAATGAGATAGATGTCTACATAATAATAGTGCAGGACTTCAGTACTCCACTGCCAGCACTAGACAGGTCATCGAGGCAAAAAATCAAAAATAAACAGTGAAATTAAACCATAGTCTAGAACAAATGGACTTGATGGATATTTGCAGAACATTTCCCCAACCACTTCAGACTATACATTTTTTTTCAGCACATGGAATATCCTCCAGAGTAGAACATGTGATAGGTCACAAAACAAGTCTTAATAAATTTAAGAAAAAAATTATATCAAGTATCCTCTCAGACCACAGTGGAATAAAACTGGAAATCAACTCCTAAAGGAATCCTCAAAACTATACAAATACATGAAAACTAAATAATCTGCTCTTGAATTATCTTTGGGTCAACAATGAAATTTAAAAATTCTTTGAGCTGAATGATAATAGTAACACAACTTAACAAAACCTCTGGGATACAAAAAAAGCAGTACTCAGAGGAAAGTTCATAGCATTAAATGCTTACATCAAAAAGTCTGAAAGAGCACAAATAGATGATCTAAGGTTGCACCTCAAGGAACTAGAGAAACAAGAACAAACCAAATCCAAAACCAGCAGAAGGAAAGAAATAACGAAGACCAGAGCTGAACTATATGAAATTGAAACAAAAATATAATAGATAAATGAAACAAAGAGCTGGTTCTTTGAAAAGATAAACAAATGGATGGACCGTTAGTGAGATTAACCAAGAAAAGAATAGAGAAGTTCCAAATAAGCTCAATTAGAAATGAACCAGGAGATATTACAGCCAATACACAGAAATACAAAACATCATTCAAGGTTACTATGAACACATTTTTCTACAAAAACTAGGAAATCTAGAGGAGATGGATACATTCCTGAAAACATGCAACCCTCCCACGTTAAATTGGGAAGAAATAGAAACTCTGGACAGACCAACAACAAGTAGCAAGATTGAAACAATAATAAAAAATTGCCAACAAAAAGAAGTCCAGGACCAGATTCACAGCTGAATCCTATCGGACATTCAAAAAAGAATTGGTACAAATTTTACTGAAACTATACTCAAAGACAGAGAAAGAGTGATTCCTCCCTAAATCATTCTATGAAGTGTCACCCTAATACCAATATCAAGAAAGGACGTAACAAAAAAAGAAAACTACAGACCAATATCCCTGATGAACATAGATGCAAAAATCCTCAACAAAATAATAGCTAACTGATTCCAACAGCATATCAAAAAGATAATCCACCACGATCACGTGGGTTTTATACCAATGATGCAGGGATGGTTTAACATACACAAGTCAATAAATGTGATACATCGCATAAACAGAATTAAAAACAAAAATCACATGATTTTCTCAATAGATGCAGAAAAATATTTGACAAAATCCAGCATCCGCTTATGATTAAAATTCTCAGCAAAATTGGCATACAAAGGACATACCTCAAGGTAATAAAAGCTATCTGTGACAAACACATAGCCAGCATTATGCTAAATGGGGAAGGTTGGAAAGAATTCCCCCTGAGAACTGGAACAAGACGAAGATGTCCAGTTTTACCACTTCTCTTCAAAATAGGACTGGGAGTCCTACCAGATCAATCAGACAAGATAAAGGAATCAAGGTGCATCTATATTGATTAACAGGAAATCAAACTGTCGCTGTTCACTGATGATATTATTGTATACCTAGAAAACCCTAAAGATTTATCCAAAACACTCCTAGATTTTATAAACGAATTCAGTAAAGTTTCAGGATACAAAATCATTGTACACAAATCAGTAGCATTGCTATACTCCAACAACAGCCAAGCTAAGAAACAAATCAAGAACTCAATCTTTTTTACAGCAGCTGCAAAAAAAAAAAAAAAAAAAAAATCCTTAGGAATATAATTAACCAAGGAGGTCAAAGATCTTCACAAGGAAAACTACAAAACACTGCTGAAAGAAATCATCGACAACACAAATAGAAACACATCCCATGCTCGTGGATGGGTAGAATCAATATTGTGAAAATCACCATACTACCAAAAGCAATCTACAGATTCAATGCCATTCCCATCAAAATGCCATAATCATTCTTCACAGAACCAGAAAAAAAATATCCTAAAATTCATATGGAATTAAAAAAAACACCCTGCATAGCCAAAGCAAGACTAAGCAAAAATAACCAAACTTGGAGGCATCACATTACTAGACTTCAAGCTATACTACAAGGCTATAGTTACCAAAACAGCACAGTACTGGTATGAAAACAGGCATGTAGACCAACAGAACAGAACATGTATCAGGTAGGATGTGATTATTGAAGAGAGACACATCATTTTGTATTTGTGGACCTTGTGGGTCTCAGTTTCTTTATCTAAAAAAATGAATGTGTATTAGTTTTGGAAGTTGCGTAATAAATTACCACTAACTTAGAAGCCTAAAACTACTAATTTATTATCTCACAGTTCTGTAAGTCAGAAGTTTAGGCAGGCTGGGCTGGGTTCATTGCCTAGAGTCTCCCATTATTATTTATTATTATTTGTTAATCTCCTAGGCTAAACTTCCTTTTTGGGAAGAAAAGTAGTTTATTTTTGCTGGAATTTCTCTCTGTGTTGTTTTCATCTTGAGGAGATCAAGTATAAAAGTGTTGCGCATTTACTGAGTAATATTACAAGCAGAATGCCACATATTATTAATTGAAATTCTGATTCAAATGTTTATATTAAGTAGAATTTTTCCAACACAGTGTATATGTGCTAAACCTCTAGGAAGAATATGTTTATTTTGCACCTAAACATTGGATGATATGAGGAGAAGCACATCTTGATAATGATACATAACAATAAGTTAGGTGTAGACTAAGACGTTGTTGATTGAGAGACAGTGTACTTGATCTAAAATCTGTTTCAGGAACATTGCTATGAGGATATTTACTGCAAAAAAAAAAATGTGTTTTTTTCACATTTTGTACTAATGGTGGAATTTTCACTTTTAATAAAGGAAAGTTACAAATTATTTCAGGGAATTTTTGTTTTATTAAACCTCCTGGTAAATCAAACTGATTTTTTTTTTTTTATTATTATACTCTAAGTTTTAGGGTACATGTGCACATTGTGCAGGTTAGTTACATATGTATACATGTGCCATGCTGGTGCGCTGCACCCACTAACGTGTCATCTAGCATTAGGTATATCTCCCAATGCTATCCCTCCCCCCTCCCCCGACCCCACCACAGTCCCCAGAGTGTGATATTCCCCTTCCTGTGTCCATGTGATCTCATTGTTCAATTCCCACCTATGAGTGAGATATGCGGTGTTTGGTTTTTTGTTCTTGCGATAGTTTACTGAGAATGATGGTTTCCAATTTCATCCATGTCCCTACAAAGGACATGAACTCATCATTTTTTATGGCTGCATAGTATTCCATGGTGTATATGTGCCACATTTTCTTAATCCAGTCTATCATTGTTGGACATTTGGGTTGGTTCCAAGTCTTTGCTATTGTGAATAGTGCCGCAATAAACATACGTGTGCATGTGTCTTTATAGCAGCATGATTTATAGTCCTTTGGGTATATACCCAGTAATGGGATGGCTGGGTCAAATGGTATTTCTAGTTCTAGATCCCTGAGGAACCGCCACACTGACTTCCACAATGGTTGAACTAGTTTACAGTCCCACCAACAGTGTAAAAGTGTTCCTATTTCTCCACATCCTCTCCAGCACCTGTTGTTTCCTGACTTTTTAATGGTAACCAAAACAGCATGGTACTGGTACCAAAACAGAGATATAGATCAATGGAACAGAA